>NC_000001.11:206669435-206820950 GCF_000001405.40 Homo sapiens | reverse complement strand
GAGGTGACACCTTGGCTGAGTCTTTGAGGATTCATGGAAAAGGACAGGCACACTGGATGGAGCCCTAGAGATGGTCAATGATGGCACATTGTGGGAAACACATGTTGGTCAATATGGGCAGTGTTTGAAAGCGGGGTGGGGAGGAGGCGGCAGGAAGCCATGAGAAAAGCTGACAAGACTCTCAGAGTTGTGCTAGAGGAACCTCATTGTGCCAGTCCACAGCTGTTCTTTAAGCTCAGCCAATGCCACAGTAAAGTAGAGGCCCACTGTTCTCACCCAGCCATGTCCACATTTCAAATTCATCAGCAAATAAATGATTGCTATTATTTGAAGCCGCTGTTGTGGGATGGTTTGCTTTTAGCAACAAATTATCAAACAACCACTTTAGAGGTGAGGGCAGCAAGGAGGGCTAAGTGGAAATGACAAGCATCAACACTGGTGCCAATATCTTGATCTTTCTGGCCCTTATGTTTGGTTAGAAGCAAACATTGTTTGGCTAACATCTGGAAGTCATTTATAACCAGCATATGATTCTAGATGGTGCTAGTAGGTCTTTAGGCTCCAAATATAGAACATATCCCTCAGAATCTGGAGATAAGAGTAGAAATGGGTTGGTATGCTGGTATCTTGAAGGTTACAGACTGGTAAACTGATGTCAACCTCAAGCGGGAGGGTTTCTGATAGCCGACCACAGGCCTTCATCCTTTCCCTTGTCTTAGCAATGATTTTTATCGATCACTCAGATGAAGTTTAGGGGGGCCATATTTATCAAAGTCAGTAAATACATGAAGCTTGGAAGGCGAGTGAGCATATGGAATGACAGGATGAGGATCCTAAAATATTTTGACAATCTGGAGCAATAAGCTTAATCCAACAAGACAAAATTTAGGAGGGATAAATATAAGACTCCATGGTTGAATATGAAAAGAATCCTTCACAAGTATAGAAGGAAAGGGGGATGGCCCAGTCACAGGAGATATGAGACCCACATAAGAACTTAGGCTTTGGGGTTAGATAGACATAGGTTTACATGTTAGGTATACCAGTTAGTAACTGCGACCCTTGGAAAATTATTCAAGCTTCTCTTAGTCTTTCCCTGCAAGAATTAGAGATAATTCATATAAAGGACCTGGCAGTTTCTGGCAAAAGTAAGTGCTCAATAAGCGGCCAGTGAAAGATCTAAGTTGCTTGTAATAGTGCTGAGTCTCTACATAGCCCAGGAAAAAGCTATCCAAAAGAACTTTCTCTAATGGCAGAAATGTTCTATAATCTGAACTCTCCAATATGTTGGCCTCTAGCCACAAATGGCTATTGAGTTCTTGGAATGTGCCTATTGCAACTAAGGACTGAGTTTTCCTTTTTTTTTTTTTAGACGGAGTCTTGCTCTGTCACCCAGGGTAGAGTTAGTGTCACATCTTGGCTCACTGCAACCTCCGCCTCCCAGGTTCAAGGGATTCTTCTGCCTCAGCCTCCCGAGTAGCTAGAACTACAGGCACACACCAACACACCCGGCTAATTTTTGTATTTTTAGTAGAGATGGGGTTTCACCATATTGGCCAGGCTGATCTGGAACTCCTGACCTCGTGATCTGCCCGCCTCAGCCTCCCAAAGTGCTGGGATTACAGGCGTGAGCTACTGTACCCAGCCCAGTTTTACATTTTAATTGTAATTAATTTAAATTTGGATGGCCACTTGTGGCTAGTAGGTTATTATATTGAACAGTGTGGGTTAAGATGATGTTAAGAAATGCTAAACTCTGAGACAGGAGGATTGCTTGAGCCCAGGAGTTTGAGGCCAGCCCAAGCAACACAGCAAGACCCATCCCTTAAAAGAAAAAATAAGCTGGGTGTGGTGGCTCACGCCTGTAATCCCAGCACTTTGGGAGGCCAAGGCAGGCAGATCACGAGGTCAGGAGTTCGAGACCAGCCTGGCCAACACAGTGAAACCCCATCTCTACTAAAAATACAAAAATTACCTGGGCGCTGTGGCAGGTGCCTGTAATCCCAGCTACTCAGGAGGCTGAGGCAGGAGAATCGCTTGAACCTGGGAGGCGGAGGTTGCAGTGAGCCAAGATCATGCCACTGCACTCCAGTCTGGGCGACAGAACTAGACTCTGCCTCAAAAAAAAAAAAAGAAAGAAAAAGAAAAAAGAAAGAAAGAAAGAAAGAAAATACAAACTCTAAACCTAAGTAAGATCTGGAGCAGAGAAACAATTTTCACTTTTCTTTATAAACTTCTAAATGGGCTGACTTTTTATTGTAACGAAAGTGTACAATTTGATAAGCTTTGGCATATCCAGACATCCATAAAACCATCACCTCAATTAAACTGTGAACATACTCAGTAGCCCCAGCAGTTTCTCCTGCTCTATTTTAATCCTTTTCTCCTACCCTCTCACCCACATCCCCACTCCAACCCTGCTCAGGCAAGCACTAATCTGCTTTCCGAAAGTATAGACTAATTTGGGTTTTCTAGTATATTATGTAAATAGAATCATACAGTATGTAGTCTTTTTTGTCTGGTTTCAACTGAACATAATTATCTTGAGATTTGTCCATGGTGTTGCATGTATGACCAATTAATTTCTTTCTAATGCTTAGTAGTAGCCATTATATGGCTATGCCGCAATTTGTTTGCCCATTCTCCTTCTGATGGACATTTGAGCTACTTCCAGTTTATCGGCCCAGAATATGGTCTGTCTTGGTAAAGATTCTGTTTGCACTCAAAAAGGATGAACATTCTAATATTGTTAGGTAGAGTGTTCTATATATGTTAATTAGGCCAACTTGGTTGACAGTGTTATTTAAGTCTACTATATCCTTGCTAACTCTGCCTCCTTATTCTATGGATTATTGAGAAATGGGTATTGAAATCTTCTACCATAATTGGCCGGGCGTGGTGGCTCACGCCTGCAATCCCAGCACTTTTGGAGGCTGAGGCAGGCAGATCACTTGAGGTCAGGAGTTTGAGACCAGCCTGGCCAACATGGTGAAACCCCATCTCTACTAAAAATACTACTATTAGCTGGTAGTGGTGGCACACGCCTGCAATCTTAGCTACTCAGGAGGCTGAGGCAGGAGAATCGCTTGAACCCAGAAGGCAGAGGTTGCAGTGAGACAAGATTGCACCATTGCACTCCAGCCTGGGCAAAAGAGAAAGACTTTGTCTCAAATTAAAAAAAAAAAAAAAGAAATCTTCTACCATAATTGTAAATTTTTCTATATCTCCTTGTAGTTCTGTGAAGTTTTATCTACTTTAAAGCTCTGTTATTAGGTGCATAAACACTTAAGACTGTTATGTCCTCTTGATAAATTTACCTCTTTATCATTATGAAATGACCTTCTTTATCCCTGGTAATATGCCTCTCTGAAATATGTGTGATAGAGATATAGATGAGATTTATGCCTCTAGATAAATAGGTAGACATATGTAGATAGCCAGCTTTCTTTTGACCATTATTAGTGTTACTGCACAAAAGTGTCTTGCTGCTGGATGTGCTAGAAGCCAATATAATGACATTGAGTTTTTGAGAAAAGAAAAGCTTTATATTGCAAGTTGACTCACAAGAAAATAAGAGTGTCAAGCTCAAATCTGTCTCCCTGTGCTGGCTTCAAGACAATATTTATTTTAGGAAAAGTTCAGGGGGTAGATTCTGAGATCAGTAGGTGATTGGTGGAAGGAAAGGGAGGTCTGGAAAGTCCTTAGGCATGCGCAGTTATCTCTTCATGCTAGATCACAGGTCTCATGTGCAAATCAGGGGGAGTTAGTATGAAACATATGGTGGAAATTTAGGCTGTGATGTCAGCAAGCTCATTCTGTGCAAACTCCAGTAGGCCATCTTGGTTCCAACTGATTTCAGCCAGTTTTTTTTTCTTGATATCAGAAGCCAAGGGAGTTTCAGCGTTTCAGCAAGTTGCTTCTTATCTGATATCCTGCCAGCTCAAGAGTTTCTGTTAGTTACTGGTTTCTTACTCTTTGGTGCACAGTTTCAGTTTCAGCTTTTCAGCAAGTTGTTTCTTTTCTTATCTGCTATCTTATAAGCCCAAAAATTTAGTCATTGGTTTCTTTAACTCACTGAGGGACAGTTCATTAGCATAGTATATCTTTCTCCATTTTCTGCATTCTTTCACTGTTAACCTATTTGTGTTTTTAAAGTATGTCTCTCATATAGTTTGTTCTCACGTATTTTCTTTAAAAATTCAGTCTGATTATGTCTCCTTTTTAATGGTCATATTTAGGCCATTTGTATTTAATGTGATTATTGATATGGCTAGGTTTGGGGCTATCCTCTTGCTATTTGTTTTCTATTTGTACCATCTTTTTTTAAATACCTTTGCCCCTTTTTCTGCCTTCTTTTGATTTCATTAAGTATTTTCATTATTCCATTTTATCTCCTTTGTTGACTTATTGTATATAACTTTGTTTTATTATATTAGTGGCAGTGGCTGCTTTAGGGTTTCATATGTACCATATGCTTTTAACTCACCACAGTCTGCCTTCAAATCATACTATATATTTCATGTAAGGTATAAGAGCCTTATGATAGTGTACTTCCGTTTCTTCACTCCCAGCTTTTATGCTATTATTTTCATACATTTTACCTATACCTATTTTATAAATTCCAAAGTACATTATTTTTTAAAAATAATTATCTTTTAAAGATATTCTTAAAATCTTATACATTTACGCATGTAGTACCATTTCCAGTGCCCTTTATTTCTTTGCATATATTCAGAATTCCATCTGATATCATTTTCTTCCTGCCTAAAGGACATTAGTGCAGGTCTGCTGGCAATGCATTTTTTCAACTTTTATATGCCTGAAAAGCCTTTATTTCATCTTTATTTTTCAGAGATAATTTCACTGGATACAGAATTTTAGGCTGGCAGGTTTTTTTGTTTTGTTTTGTTTTGTTTTGTTTTCAGTACAGTAGGTCCTCAATGTCATCAGTAGGTTCTTGGAAACTTTAAACAAAACAACGTATAATAAAAGCATTTTTTTCTCATCAACATTGTAATGAAAAAATGTCGAAGGAAACAATGTTATTCGAGGGCCTGCTGTACATCATTTTGCTAAAAGTTGCCATTTTCAAGAACCTATCTACAATGTTAAGTGAGGACTTACTGTACTTTAAAGATACTGCTTTGCCATCTTCTTATTTGCATTACTTCCAATGAGAAATTTGCTATCATTTTTATCTTTCTTCCTCTCCCATGGATGTCTCTTTTATATAGTTGCTTTTAAGATATGTCTGGTTATGACTTGCTTGGTGTCATTTTCTTACCAAGACTACGTTTCATATAGGATTATGCTACTCCTATTTTGCTGATGTTAATCTCCAAAATCGTGGTGGATAATCAGGTAGGATTGACCTAACTGAGTCATAAATAATAGTAAAAAAAGGAATATTTTTAACTCAGGATTTTAAAAGGACTTGTGTGACTAAATCCACCCAATCCAAAGAGAACTACATACACTTTATTTAGCAGTTAACTTGGCCTATTAGGAATTCTCAAGAGTAAAATTTTGGCTGCCTGTTCTAATTATTTCCTCTGTGGCCATCTTAAAACATGGTACCAAAATTATTTGACATTCTTCCCACTGAGACATGACATCTATATCTCCTGCCCTCGAATCTGGGTACTGTGACCACTTAACTGATAGAATGCAGCAGAACCAAGTTTTTTTGGTCCAGACATTAAGACTCCATCAGTTTCTCATTTTCTCTCTCAGGCTGTTTGTTCTTGGAACCCAGCCATAAATGATCCCAAACATCCTGGAGATAGACTCACATGGGAAGGAGGTTCACAGCCCACTGCTCTGGCAGAGCTCCCAGAGAGCCAGCCTCAGCCATATGAATGAAATATCTTGAAAGTGGATCTGGCAGTCCTCATTGAGCTGTTTCAGCTAAAATTATATGGAACAGAAATGACCTATCTGTACTGAGCCCTGCCCAGATTGTATATTTGTGAGCAAAATAAATGATTGTTGTTGTTTTAGGTCTCTAAGGTTTCAGATGATTAGTGACACAGAACTGTCTCAAGTAAGTAACTTCTGCTGTGATCCAGGGTTGTTTCCTCTTTTCTAACTTCTAATCTTCTATTTGACCCAAGGGGTTCCATTTGCTTTTTCTTCTGCATTGACACAGTCCTGTCCTAGTAGGACTCACATTGCTATTCATAGAAAGTAGTCGTGCTTCCACTCTGCATATGTTCAAAGTGAATTGTGTGTGTGTGTGTGTGTGTGTGTGTGTGTGTGTGACAGAGTTTCACTCTGTTGCCCAGGCTGGAGTGCAGTGGCACAGTCTCGATTCACTACAACCTCCACCTCCCAGGTTCAAGTGATTCTCATGCCTCAGCCCCTCGAGTAGCTGGGATTACAGGGGGCCGTCACTATGCCTGGTTAATTTTTTGTGTGTTTTTAGTAGAGACAGGGTTTCGCCATATTGGTTAGGCTGATCTCGAATGCCTGGCCTCATGTGATCTGCCCACCTTAGCCTCCTAAAGTGCTGGGATTACAGGTGTGAGCCACCACGCCAGGCCCAAAGCATTCTGATTCCCTCCATTATCCTCTGCAGAATGCTGTTTACCTGCTCTATGTGTTAACCATTTTCTCTTGCTGCTCTTCTAAGCTACATACTTGGGTTTGGCATATTCTCTGCCTAAGCAATGTTCTATTAATATTTACTGGCTGCAATCTGTGCTCATAATTGCCGTTCAAACTTACACTTAGTATAGGAGTCTTTATTGAAAACTTCCAATTGTGCATTGCTTGAATCAGTTAGAGTTCAATCAGGAGATGGAAACCACAACAGTTTTTTAAATATATGCAAATAGGTACAAAGATACTAACTAGATAACTATATCAGCCAGGGATCTTCAGAAAAACAGAACCAGCATCTCTTACTATATATAAAAAGATTTATTTCAAGAAATTAACTGATACAACCATGGGGGCTAGCAAGCCTGAAACCTGTAGGGCAGATTGGCAGGCTGGAAACTGTCACGCAAGAGCTAATTTGCAGTCTTGAGAATTTCTTCTTCCTCCAGGAAACCTCAGTTTTTGCTCTTCAGGTCATTCAACTGATTGAATGAGGCCCGCCCACCCTATTGAGGGCCATCTCCTTTACTTAAAGTCAATTTAGTGTAGCTCTGCAACATACCTTCACAACAATACCTGATTAGTGCTTAATTAAATAACTAGGTACTACAGCCAAGCCAAACTGATATATAAAACTAACAACCACAGTAACTAAAAAAAGTTAAAAGAGAACTCTAAAATATCATAAAGGTTGCAACTGCTGAGAGCCAAGAGGCAAAGAGAAAAGGTTAAAATTATTAAAAATTAGAAACAGTAGAGAAGCCCCAAGGAACTGAAACTCAGATCTGTAAGAGGCATTGCTTGGCCAGTGCTTGTTGTCTTAGTTCACAGGGAGGGATCCAGGGTATTAGGATCCAAATCTCTGCAGAAGAGACACTGGCTGGCTATTGCTGGTGTCCCCAAGGGACACATGCTGAAGCTGATTCTGCAAGTCAGAAAAACTGAAAACTAGATTTAGCTGCTGCTACAAGGGAAAAAAAAAGTTATGATGAAGGAGCTTCTCTGGGGTAACACTCACAGGAACCACAAGCAGACGGGAAACCCTCAGGAAGCATATAGGAAGGAGAAAACCCCTTTTTCTGCCTCCAGCTTTGAAGTCTCCAGCTAGTGCCCCTATTGGCAGAGCCAACTGGCAATGCAGAAATGTGGTTTTTAGGGTCCGGTCTCTAGGATCACAAAGCAGACTATAGAAGGTTGGGTTTAGAACTGAGAGGCAATAACTGATACAGTCCACCCCTTTGGCTATTTAGCATCCATTACACTGCTCCACAAAAATTTGAACTTTTATACAACCACAAAACAATTCATTTCCTCCCAACAAAATGCAACTATTCAGCATATAAAACAGGCGAGCATCACCTTCTCCCCAAATTCAGGATTATAAAGTCTCAAGTCATTGTATCCGTTTGAATTACTTCTCAAATTCAGTCACAGTCCCATCTGAATATGTTTTCTAAAAACCAAATTGCAAAGTTAACTTCCAACAAAACCTGTATAAAATGATATGAATAAGAAGAAAGAATAAAATAATTAATATATACAAATACACACAGTAAGCAACTAACTAGTCATGAGGCCATAATTATATTTATAACTTCCTTCTTCCACTGCCTATTTTATGTTTCCTTTGCCTTCATCCAGCACCTCACACGGTTGGGGTTTTTTATGTGGTGGGGTAATCCATCTGGCCTGAAGGGTCTGAATCATCAGTGGTTATGCCTTTAGCCAGGGGCTGGGGAAGTGGTCATCTTCCATTAACTTTTACTATTGGACATGAAAATCCTAAAAGGCACCCCAGAAAATCCCACTGGGTTCCAGATATTGTCCTCTTTGGGCCCATGGAGTGGCAGCAATCCAATTTCACTTTGGTAATCAGTCGCCCCAGTCATAGAGTAACCTTCTTCTTAGCCTGTTGGTTTGGCATCATGAGGATCCCCAAATGGCCAAATGGTAGTCTCATCTTCCAAACCAATGGGACATTGATGTATTTCCTGGTAGAGACATTTGTTCCTTAGGAACCAAGACTCCAAACCAACAGAGTTCAAAGGCACAGGGATGAAAAGCAAAAATTCTGTGAGTAGGCTATGAGATGTGAGAGTGTGAAGAGCTAGTCCCTCTTCCACCCCTGATTCGCAGACCTGTGTAGTCTGGCTACAGGAAATATGGAACCATATAGTTGGTTCTGTGATTCAAAGTATAATCTACATCCTGTAATGTAGAACCCCATCCCTTCAGACTGTAATCTCCCAACTGGTACCATAACTGAATCTTCAGTAGACCATCAAATCTTTCTATTAAGCCATCTGCTTCTGGGGATTAGCATATGTGGTTGTACCAGTTAATTCCATGGGCATAAACCCATTGCTGCAGTTCTTTTGAAATTACTTTCTTGATCAGAAGAAATGTTGTATGCAGTACACCATATTTTGTAGTCACAGCTGCCAGAAGATTTTTGGACAGGAAAGCAAATCTGCACTCAGAATTCATATCTCCTGCACTAAGGAAACATTTTTCCTTCCCTCCATGATGGAAGGGTTGCACTGTAATCAATCTGCCCCTGGGGGCTGGCTGGGACTTTTAGGGAGTTGTACCATAACAGAGGCTTACTTTAGTTGGCAAGCTAGGAATTCAGCAGTGTTGGTATTCAAAAAAGCCTTGACTAGGGTAAGTCCATGTTGTTAAATCCATGCATAGTCCTCATCCCTGACATTATGGCCACTTTATGCTCAGGGCCATTGAGCAAGCACAAGAATAGCTGGAGAAAGATATTAACTGAAATCCACAGGATGCGTCATTTGTCCACCTTCAATCAAGAGATTCTAAGTCTGGAACTGGCCTAGGTCTGGAAATAGAATGAAAGGCAGCTCAAGTTTTTGGTCACCAAACTTTTTTTTTTTTTTTTTTTTTGAGACGGAGTCTTGCTCTGTCACCCAGGCTGGAGTGCAGTGGCGAGATCTCGGCTCACTACAAGCTCCACCTCCTGGGTTCTCGCCATTCTCCCGCCTCAGCCTCCTGAGTAGCTGGGACTACAGTTTCCTGCCACCACACCTGGCTAATTTTTTTGTATTTTTAGTAGAGGTGGGGGTCACCAAACTTTTTATATAGTTCAGATGACATTTTAGTAGCTGGCCATCTTTTTCATTCCTAGATGCACCATGATCAATTCGCCTCACTAAAAATCTCTAGGTTTCAAAACAGTTTGATTATCACTATGCCCTTTCTGTTTTTTATGGTATTTATCTTAGTCTATTTTGCATTTCTATACAGGAATACCTGAGGCTGGATACTTTATAAAGAAAAGAGGTTTATTTTGGCTCGCAGTTCTGCAGACTGTGCAAGAAGCATTGCACTGGCATCTGCTTCTGGTGAGGGATCCAGGAAGAATCCAATCATGGTGGAAAGCAAAGGGGGCATGTTACATGGTGAGATAGGAAGCAAGAGAGATGCCATGCTCTTTTAAACAACTAGCTCTCAGGTGAACAAATAGAGTGAGAACTCACTCGTTACTCTGAGGAGGGCACCAAGCCATTCATGAAGGATCTGTCCCCCTGACCCAAACACTTCCCAGTAGGCCCCACCTCCAACTCCAGCATTGGGGATCACATTTCAGCATGAGATTTGGAGGGGACAGGCATCCAAACTATGTCAGTATTTGCAGTCCCCTTGTCTCTAATGGTTAAATTATAGCATTTGGCCTCTGCTATATGGGAGTCTCATCATTTCTATTAAAATCAGAGATTCAACTCAATGGAGGTGTCTTTCACCATCATACCTGGCTTATAGAAGACAGCCACCACAGAGCTTTTCAGAGATGCAAGTGCTACCTTCGTCAATGTGTTTCTTAATGTCTTTATGAAAGGATTGTCCTCTAGGCATTCTGGGGGATGGATGTGAGGCTGGTAGATGTAGAGATTTCATGTGATAAAGTCACTCCATCATTCCTTCCTCCTTAAGTCTTGGATGCCTTCCTCTACATTGTGTCAGGGAAGTTCTGGCATTCCAGCCTTATTGAACATATGCCACCATTGAGTCCAAGGTTTAGTCAGCCAACCAAGAAATTTTAGAGCCACTTCCAGTTACAAGAGCTAGCTCACTAAACCCAGAATGTCTCATAAATACCCCCAATAAATTCAATCCAATCCAGTGCTATAGTCTATCCTCCTTGGTCTAACACCCTTAGAATCTATTCTCACACATATTTCCCAAGATTCTGCCAGTATTTATTAGTAAAGTCTTGCACTTCTTTTAGTGTATAAACTATTCTGAGTCGGACTTTGTCCATGCCCTCCAACCCCCAAAGAAGGGTGAGATCCGACCCTAATGGTGAGGCAAGTGGCAATAAAGAGAGGTTGGGATGGGTCTTGAGAAGGAGAATTCATTCCCTTGAAGGAAACTGCCCCAAGTGAAGTTGTTATAAGGTTTTTCACAAACGTGGTTGGGATGGTTGATTCCACACCTGGTGGTGATTGCTGAGCTGCAACATGCAATCTACTGATGAATCTGGGGAAGTTCCTGTCAGACTCATTATAAATGAAGGACAGTATCTTGCAAGTCATTTAATGGAAATTTGTCCTTATCATTATCCTGGGCCCAACCCCACCTCCCAGCTACTATATTTCTTGTTTGAAGCAGGTCTCATCTAATGCACCCAGGCTGCTACAGTGCCATCTAGTGCCAATTGCACAACCCGCCTTATACTTTACATGCTACTTACAGTAGATCAAGAGGGCAGATTCACCTTTTCTGGTGGTTTTCCTAAAACTAGTTAGATGCCCAGAGGTTGGTATGGTACTTTTTCAGTCTACAATGGTGCAGTATAAAATCATCTTTTGAAGTCCCTACCAGAACTGTGGGCTGGGCAGAGAAATATTCTACCCAGTTGGCCAACAGAGTCTTCCCTTGAAGCTGAGCTAAAGTGAAGACCTGCAGGAAAAGCCAGTGGAGGTCAGGCCCACAGACAGCATCTTCTGAAGTTCATGCCCACCCACCCCACACCAAGTACAACTAACAGTACAGACTAAAAAGCCTATCACATGTGGAGATCTCACATAGGTATGTGGAAATCATGCATTATTATCCCTTCCTTTCAGATGAGAGCAGTCTTAAGATAATGAACCAGCTTGGGTTTACACAGATAGCAAATAGCAGAGACAGGTATTCCAGCCCAGGTCTGCTGCCTAGGAATGCTGTATCTACCACTCTTCACAGCTCCTAGGTGAAGCAGTGGGGGCAACACCCATGGGGGCTGCTTTGAGGGACATCATGATCAACATATACAAAGACTGTTTGCCAAGAACAGAGAGCAGCTTTGCTCTCTCTCCCTAAACAAGACCTGCTTTTGAGTTCATGGGGAGTAGTACAAGTTTGTTTCCAGAACCTTCTGCCTTCCTTCTCTGTCATACAGAATCCTCATGCACCCTCTTCACTCATGATGTCCCACCCAGGCTGTCCTTTCCTGGCCAGCATCTCTAGCCCCTGCAGCCTCTTCACTACATCTGTCTCTCACCTTCTTTGTTGCACCACAAGGGGTCCTTATTGTCCACAGACCAAATGGGCTGGGAGCCTTTTCTTAGGACTCCTGCTAAGACTTGTGTCAACTGCAGGCACACATACATAGCAACAAGCCCCTCTAAGGTGGATGCTTTGTCCTCATGGCAACACTTTCTACACTACCCTCTGTGAGTTTAACCTACCGCGAGTTTTCTTGTACCTGGAAGTCTTAGGGGCTCCTCACCCTCCCACCTCACTCCATTTACTCTGTCTCAGTGCCAGATCTCTGCTCACCTAGTTTTTTCCTACCTCACCCCACCATGCGTGCACATGGGCACACACACACACACACACACACACGCACACACACAATTCCCTTCATACCTCTCCCTAATTTTCTGAATTCTATCCTTCCTTCAAGGCCACAGTCACTCTACATGCACGGTTAATTCTACTCTCAGAGCTTCACATCACATCAGTCAATATCTTTTGTTTGGTATGGTTTGTTTTTTGTTGTTGTTTATTTTTGTTTAGATGGAGTCTCGCTCTGTTTCTCAGGCTGGAGTGCAGTAGTGCAATCTTGGCTCACCGCAACTCCGCCTTCAGGGTTCAAGTGATTTTCGTGCCTCAGCCACCAGAGTAGCTGGGATTACAGGCATATATCACCACACCTGGCTAATTTTTGTATTTTTAGTAGAGACAGGGTTTCGCCATGTTGGCCAGGCTGGTCTTGAACTCCTGGCCTCAAGTGATCTGCCTGCCTCAGCCTCCCAAAGTGTTGGGATTACAGGCATGAGCTGCCACACCTGGCCTATATCAATTTTTATGGCACCAAATTAGGAACCAAAAGCACTATATAATGAATGTGTTTATTTACTGTTTTAAATATGCTTTCTGCTCCATTTTTTAACATCATAGTTCATCTCTTTAATAGAAAAAAAGTTTACCATCACCTTAGAAATTATAGTTAAATCAATTCCCATAACTTCTTTCTATATATTTGCTTCTATATATAGTTACACCATTTCAATGTTTCTTTTTGCCTTCCTCCTACAAATATAAATTGCACACCATTTCTTTGTCATACACAGTGCTAAGACCTGGGAATTCAGTGACAAATAAAATAAACATGGTCCCTGCTTTTGTGGGGTTCATACTCTAAGAGAAGACAAATGTAACACAACTAAACACATAAATATATAGCTACAATTTGTGATTAGTGGTCTGAAATAAGGGTGCCAAAAAAACAAAGGAAACTTATTTTCAGATTTTGAGACCAGAGAACATCTGAAGAGGTGATATAAGTAAGCTGAGATGTAATGAGAAAGAAGGAGCCAGGAAAAGAAAGGGTTGAGGGGAGAGAGTTCCAGGTTGAGGGAACAGCATGAGTGAAGGCCCTGAGAGAAGAAGGAGCTTAGCATGTGCACAGCAAGAACTGATCAGTGGCTATATGACTATAGCATGGTGAGTAGAGGATAGTGTGGCTGGGCTGGGAATAACTGCAGAGGTGGAATCAGGCAAGGTCTTGAAGGTCATAGTAAGGAACTTGAGTTGACTCTACATGCCATAGGATATGGTTTGGCTGTATCTCCACCCAAATCTCATCTTGAATTGTAGTTCCCATAATTCCCACATGTCATGGGAGGGACCTGGTGGGAGGTAATTCAATTATGGGAGCAGTTACCCCCATGCTGCTGTTCTCGTAATAGTGGGTGAGTTCTCATGAGATCTGCTGGTTTTGTAAGGGGCTTTTCCCTCTTTGCTCAGCACTTCTTCCTGCCACCATATGAAGAAGGACATGTTTGCTTCCACTTATGCCATGATTGTAAGTTTCCTGAGGCCTCCCCAGCCCTGCAGGACTGTGAGTCCATTAAACCTCTTTCCTTTATAAATTACCCAGTCTTGGGTATGTTTTTATAGCAGTGGGAGAACGAACTAATACCCATAAGAAGCTTTAAAATTATTTTAAGCAAGGAAGTGACATGATCTGGTTTACTAGACCATTGGATGACATGTACAAAATGGCTTAGAAGGGTTGAGAGTGGAAGAGACAGGCAACTTAATAGGCTGTGACAGTGGTCCGGATAAAATATGATATTGACTTGGACTAACACGATACCAGATTGATAGTGGAAAGGGGACCAAATCGTAATATATTTCAGAGGTAGAATGATAGGACTGGGTGATAATTTGTACCAACTCTAATTTATCCTTATTGTGATACATTTTTTACTGGCTTGCTCAGGGAGAGTTCCGGGAATTGTATTTTCCGAGTGCATACGTTATGAGTGACAATTTACCTAGGCATAGAATTCTCAGGTCACACAACTTCTTTCCTTCACAGATTAAAATACTTTGTTTCATTGTCTTCTCACATTTAGAGTTATGGAAAATAAATCTGAAAAATGCTTGACTTGTTTTCTCCCTGCCTATTTATTTATTGAGTTTTTGTAGTATTTTAGATGTAAAAGTTCTACCTGAATATATTTCAGAGTAGTAGCTCTTTTCTATCTGCCAATGTGATGTTATTTAGCCTACCTAGCATTCATCCCCCTTTCTTCTGAAAGTAGCAACCCCATTTTCCTCTGGGAAATGATATTTCCCTTATTTGCAGTCCATATGACTCTAGGTAAAGCTGACCCATCCTCTCATCCCAGGAGTGGGTGTGTGCTGCCGGTGAAATTAAGGCAACAACGCTTCTCAATTGCATAGATTGATTCAAGGGTGAGTACATGACCCAAGCCAAGCCAATCAAAATCAACGAGGATTAACCCAAGGTTAATGGTACATGTATTAGAACTCTCTTTTCCACTGGGATTGGTAAACTGGGAGAATGTGAGTCTGGAGATACTGAATGTCACCCTACAGGAACAACCCTCCCAAGAATGATGGCAACCCAGAAAAAAGCAAGAGCAGCAGGGATGGATTCCTAGTGAACCCTTGGACTTCATTAAGTGAGCCAGCAAAATTCCTTTTTTGTTTAAGCTGGTTTGAACTGAGCCTGACACGATCCAGACTCCTGATGAATACAGTAAGCGCATTCAGTTTTTAAAATAAGATTTTACTTAAAGCCATTATATTTTCTACATATGGCTTCTGCTCCAAAAGAATCTGTTCATTATCTTTAGGAACTCCTGTTATGTGTAGGTTAGCTCTTTGATATCTGTATTTCACGTTTACTCTATTCTTTCATTTTCATTTCTTTATCTTTTGCTTTTGTGTTCTAGGAAATTTATCTTCAGTTTGCCTTTTACTCATTAATTCAGTTTTCTGCAGTGTCCATTTGTAAGCTATGGCTTCCATTTTGGAGTTTAATTCAATAACTGTGTTTTCCAGCCTGATAAAATATTTCTTCCATTTGGATTGTTTCCTTTTTATAATGGCTTGCTCTAGTCACACAGATGTAAATTGTTTTAGCATCTAGCATATGGCATTCTTTGATAAACAGAAAAAAGTGAATGAGGTTATTATTCATTTTTCAGCTCAATGATTTTCCTGAATCTATCACTTAACTCCCCTTAGCCTGCTTTGTCTTTATAGCCTCTACCACCTGGTATATATCTGTATCAAGACCTAGAGCAATGGCTGCACAAGTTGGCACTAAAATCTATTTATTGGACATGTAAACGGATCAGTACAGATGTGTTTTCACTCTTAATTTGCTCAAAGTCCCATTGAGAAGGTAAAACTAGCACAAAAAGGTAAATAACCATCCCAGGCAGCTAACTGAGAGCTATCAGAAACACATACATGACTAATAGCTAAATAAATTGTGCCGATACAGGTGTGTACTCTAGAAGCAGAGCCAGGTATGCAGACAGCAGGTAGCAGGTGATCATTTAGTGCTTGAATGATCAGAACAGTGTCCACAGAGGATCCAAGGATTGAAAGGAACTTCAAAGAAGGGTATGATTTAGAAAGGAAGGAGTCTGGTGGATTCTTCTAAAGAGCATTTCTCTGGGATTCAGATAATTTCACCCATGCAGTTAGCACCCATTCTATCCTTGAAAGATACAGCTGCTCTTCCTATAAGGTAAGAGAATTTCAGGTTTGAACAGAGAATTTTAGATTGAAAAATTCAAGCCCATTTTCTATTCTTCCACCCGCAAACAAAGGTGCGGAAAGCAGTTGAGGAAACAGGCTGAGGTGAGTTTCCTTGAAGCCTTGCTCTCTTGCATCTCTGTTTGATCCCTGGGTCATTCCCTCAGGCATCTCTGGTCAGAAACACTTTTAAACCCCAAATCTCATTCTCACTGGGTTTGCATTGTACCTGGAAAGATGCTGACACCAATAAAAGCTTGTTGCTTAAAGACACAGCCTATGACTCACACAATGCACACTTTATACACCCTAATTCCTTCCATCTGTAGTAACTTTCAGCTTCTCATTACCTAAATTATTTCAGTGCACTCAACCTGGGGGTTATTGTCATATAGGGAATCAAATGAGGTGCCAGAAACAGATAAAAATCAAGAAAACAACAATTTGAAAAGGTTATCATTGGCATCAGGGAATGTCTGTGTTGGAAAGGATCTCCAGGTTCATTAGCCCCCACTCCCAGCACAGGAACCCTCTTTGTCATGACTCGGACAGATGTTATCCAATTCTGCTTCATGACTTTCAAGACCTGGGTGCCACATTCTGCAGTTGTCATCTGCAAACTTGATAGGCAGGTGAATGTGGCAAGCAACCCATATTTAAATATACCTGAAGCCCTCCTGGAATTTACACAGCTACATCTTTCCCTGTACTGCCCTGCAAGAAGCGTGAGAGAAGAAGCTCTTCTGAGCCTCCTGCCTGTTACAGAGAGCAAGAAAGGGAAGGGAAGAGACAGGGCGAAGAGAGAAAGGATTACTTGATATTGTAGTGTTCAAGCTGGAATAATTTTCCCTCCCACCTTGCTGGAGTGCTTTCCAAGTGCTATTTCCTAGAGCAATGCCAGATTAGTTGTTCCAGAATTCCCAGGGGGCTTTGCACAGAGTCCCAGACCCTGTCCCTGAGAGTTGAATTTTGTACATCTGGGATGAAGCCTGGGCATCTCTATTTGTTAAAGCTTAGGATTATTTTGAAGTGCAGTCAGTTTGAAAGTCACTTTATTAGAGGGCTCTGGACTAGGTCACCCCATTCCTGGTGGTTGAAAAACCTCATTGCAAGCAGATCACTCCTATGTCCTCCAGCAGTTTTCTGTAAGCATGTTTTTGTGTTGCTGAAGGCAGCCCCATCAGCCCCCAGGGGAATAATCCTTTCCTGTTCTCTCCAGCCATGCTCTGTAGGATCACCTGAGGCCTGTGTCTGGGCCTCTTTATCGCAGCACAGTACAAGCATCCAGCTTGTACTCTTTGTTGTGGGCTGGCCAAGATGCTGACAGGAACAAAAATGACTTGTTTTTGAGAGTAAAGATACAAGCTTTGACTCAGATGACGCACACATGTTCATGGAGGGAGACTCTCACATCCGACCTACCTTCTTCCGTCCACAGAGAGTCACGTTGCTACTCTAACCACATCACTAATTCCGAAAGATGGGGACTCCTACACAGGGCCTCCAGGTCAATGCCTCTGATTAGGGCAGGGAACTGGAAGGCATCCAACCCCGACTTCCTGGCACCCCAAGTTCTCTCAGCAGCAACAGCGAAAGCCCATGGATGTAACTGCATTACAGAAGCCAAGGCCCTCAATGTGTAGACTCTCTGGGGTGCTATTTTAAAAGGCAGACTCTCAAGCCCCACAAAAAGATGTTTTGAAGATTGGAGTGAGGCCAGAAAATCCACCTTTTGAGCAAGCAGGACTAGGGAATTCTGAGTAAGACTAGTATTTGAACTTTACCCATTTGGGACTGAACCTCAAAGGAAAAAAGGGATCTGGAAAAGGAAATGACGTCCCCCTCGCCCTTCCAGGGCCACAGCTGCTTCTGTTCTTGAGATATTGGCCAGGCCCCTTATTTCTTTGACATTCCCCTTGCTTTCCTGTCCCCTCGTCTTCCTTAACAGTCCTTCTTATCTGCCAGAAGATTGGTCTTTCTTTAAGGCTAGCAGTTAGCCTTGATTGGGGATCCAGTTCTATACATGTGGGCATAGAGGACAGAGCAAGAAGACAGGACAAGTGAGCAGAACTATACAGGGAAGGGAGGGACAGTGTTGGAAGAGAAGCCCAGGCTTGGAACTTGCCCATGGCAAAAAAAAAAGAAAAAAAAAATTGAAAATTTGTACCCTCATTATGTCACCAGGAATTGAAATTAAGTATGACTCACGATTTACCCATGAAGCTCTTTCCCAATTAGTCTGGGTTGTGTCACCAAAAGACCTGAATTTAAGTCATGACTCCATCACTTATTGGCTTCGTGATCTTGGGAAAATTATTGAACTCTCTGACATTTAGTTTCCTTATCTGTAAAATAGGGGTAATCGCTTGATAAAGGTGCTGTTCGTTTTGATGAGGTAATATATAAAAATGCTTAGCCCAGGTTTTGGTACATGGAAGGCAGAAAAAAAAACCACCCAGATATTATGAATAATATAATTCTGTCATGTACACCTTTCCTCTCACAACCTACTGACTTACTGTAGGCACCAGGCAACCTGAATTACTAGGTGTTCTCTAGGGCCCCAATAAGCCATGTGTTTTAAAGTCTAATGGAATGGTCTAATCCCATCTCCATCACCAACTCATAAGCTGTGTGACCTTCCTTCCTGGGCCTCTGTTCCCTTCTCTATGGATCAGTGCCAATACATCAAGTTTCTGCAAAGGCCTGGTGCATTCACTGATGCACACAAGGAGCCCAGGACCATGCTGGGAGCCCCCTGTGCTGCAGCCTCCCCTTCCCCTCCTTTCCTGCAAGCTCCCATGTTTGTCCATGCCTTTCTATGGAGGTGCCTTCGTTCAAACTGTTTCTTCCACCCAAATGTCCCTTCCCTTTTTCTGCTCACTGGAGTTCTTCCCAAAGCTGCCTTCATCCTACCTCAATCCCAACAGTCAAGATACCCAGGTAATCACCCTTCATTGACAAACAGAGTATGTATTGTGAGTCTGTGATGTGTCAGGCACTGTTGCTCATGACCAGGGATATAGAGATGATTAAGGTCTAGTCCCCAAGAAATTCAGTCTACTTAAGAACATAAGAACAATATGAACATAAGAACAGATAACTGTCCTCCAAGGAAGTGGGGGTAATAATAGAAGTGACTCAAAAGTGCTGGGACAGCACAGAAGAGGGAGCTCTTGGGTCTGACTCAGGTGGGATGGAGAAGCCTTTATAGAGACACAGAACTTTGACCGGAAGGATAAGTGATGCTTGACAGGGAGAGAAGAGGGAGTAGTTTGTCTAAGACTGACCCAGAGCCATAGAGGTCTGAGATAGGCAGTTGGGCCAACAGTGCTGGAGGCTGACCAGGAATGGGGAGGGCACAGAGACAGAGCTGGAAAGAGACAAGGACCAGGTGCCAATGGCCTTGAGTCTGGCCAGGGAAAGGTCCAGGAAGTTGCCTCCATTCCACCCCCCGCCTCCAGGCACATGAGGACAGTGGAGAGCAGATCTGTCATCTCCAAGGAACATTCCAGAGCAGGAGCAGTCCATGGAAATCCCTCATCTCTAGTCCCACTCATATCATTGGCTAGAAGGCCATGGGCTACAGGCTTGTAATTCAAAGGACACAGGGGTCTGGAGGCAGACATCTGTGGTTTTTTTTTTTTTTTAAACTACGAATGGACAACTTTCTTTGATTTCTTAAATTCAATTGCAAAATTTAGAAAATCCCACTCTACTAGGGAGAGAGTGAAAGTTAGAAGATCCAGTGCTTTCTGAGGAAGGTTGCAATTTGGGAGTGACAAATTTCACCAGAATCTCAGCATGCAGCCATCTCGCTCCATAAGCCAGAGGTCAACGACCACAGGCAGGAGTAATGTCTCATCCTAAGGCCTTCTGGAATATGTTTCTGGCCAGAGGTGGTTGGTCTCCAGGCTGTGCCTGGTCCTCATGCCCAGCCAACATCATTGCCTTCCAGACCCCAAGGCAATTGGCAGTGGCTACTTACCCACTGCCTCCCGGACTTAACACACACGGCCAGGAGGGGCCAGGGCCAATCTCCCCATTCTTTTCCCCATATTTTTTGTGTTCCAGATATACTAAATGTCTCACCTTCCTCCAGACACAGCAGCTCTTTCACAATGCCTAAAATCTTTTTCCAGATAAATGACTTCATCTGGAAGGGCTTGATCACCATCATTCCTGTCTCCTTTCCCCATCCCGGTTTCCTAAACACATGCACACTCACATACTCAACTCCCACTCTCCCTGGCAAACTCCTATTCACCCTTCAAGTTCAGTCATGTGTCACTGTTCTTAGCAAAACCTCCCTTGACCACACCCTCCTCCTCCAGGTGGTAAATCACTCTCTCTTTGGGGTCTTACGGCACTTCCTCCCCAACCCTTAACTAATAATACTGTCATGTTGCACAGCAACATATCGGAGCATTCATCTGTGACCTTCCCCCCTACCCCACCACCACTGCCCTGCCCCAGGGAGACAACTCCTCCAGGGCAATGCTGGAGACTTACACATTTCTATCCTTGGCACCCAGCTGAAAGCCTAGTTTAGAGGAAACGGTGTTGACTGATTGATGGTCTTCACCACTACACTGGAAGCTCAATGGGGTATGGACTTTGTCTTGTTCAGTGTTGTGTCCTCAGCAGTCTGGTGTGTAGAAGGCACTCAATAAAAATTGGTTGAATTAATTGCATTTAATCAAGCCTGGACAATTCAGTGAAATGAAACACTTGGCCAAGTTGCTTAAGTTCCTGAAAATTGATTTATCTGAAGATTATCAATGACTTTGGATAATTATTAAATATATCTTTTTTTGTGCAAGCTGTGAAATATATGGAGATAAACAAACTTGCTTATAGATAAGTGGGAGAGGGGATGAGATGTTTGTAAAAATAATAGTACACAAGATAGAAAGCAATACATGTCAAGAAGAGAAAGTGCTGTGGGTATTCAGGAGAGAGGTCACTTCCTCCATAGGATTGATCAGAGGGTCTTCACAGAGGACAAGCCATTTAACTTGGGACACCATTGATGATGTTTTCCACCCTGACCTTGGTCCACAGGCAGCCATGTGACCCTGGTCTCCTGGCTATAGCTGATTGGAAAGTGGACAACTGACCTAAGCTGTTCTGTTAGTCTCTGTCTCCCAGTAATTTGGTCTTGGGACTTTAGAGCACTAGTCAGTCTTGGCTGGTCCCTTGAATTAAAGACTGGTAGCCTCTAGAGCTGTGCAGTTGCAGTCCTCTGCAAACTGCTCAGAGATGCAGAGAAAGCTGCCAAGAAAAGCAGAAAGGAGTGACTACGTGGCCTCAGAGAGCGAGAAGCTGAGTTCTGGCTTTCTGATGACTTCTGCTCCTGGTTCCAGTCCCTCTGTGTCGTGCAGCAGCTTCCATCCCATGGATATTCTGAGACACCCCAGGCTCCTTACAGTAAATTCCCCCTTTTTGCTGCAGCTAGCTGGACTGTACCATTGCAGCTAGCAACCTTGGTGAAGACTCTTGTTGTGTGAAGAAATGGGCCATGACCAGTATGGGAGCTGATGGGGAAGGGGTATGCAGATATGGTTTATTTGTCTGCCTTTCCACCCTACACTCCCTCACTCACCCTCAGCATCTCCAGTATGGTGACCCCCCCTTCTCCCCTAAACCTGGCCAGCAGTCTGGCAATAAGGAACTTTATGACAGACAAAGGCAGTCCTGTCAGTTCATAGGTGTCTGAAAACCCAGTCTTCCAGAGTCTTGAAATAAACTGGATATCTCTGGTCCCAGAGAATGGCTCCACATCCAGGGTCCCTATAGCAGAAATTACTTACCCCGTGGAACAGAGCCCCAAAGCACTGGCACACACACATGGATATGTGTGTGCACATGTGTGAGTGGTAAGGAACACGCAGATCTGTGCGGAAACGCTCCCTCAGTGCACATTCTTGGACTCCTGTCAGTGTGTGCAAGCACCGCTCTATGGAGAAAATCATAGAGAGTCATCATTACAAAAAGGTACACTCAGCTCCCTCCTTCTGGTGGCTTTGAGGTCGGCAAAAGTGCACACACGGCAACCTCTTTACAAAAATTCAACCCAGCTACTCTGAACCGAATCACACCCTCAGTCAAGGCCTGTATTGTGTGGGAGAGCTCCAGGAGGACAGTGGTGTTTCTCGGTGCGCTGTGGGACTCTGACATTTGGTAAATCGGGTCGGGGAAGAGGGTGGCCAGATTTTATGGGGCCCAGAGGCATATATAATGGGAGGGAGAACTGTCTTTTAAGAAAAAAAAATGTGTATATAATTACTTTGGCTGTGGAAAGGACTAATGAAAGTAAGAGATCCTGAAGCTTTTATTAGCGTCACAGGAAATTGACTTGGGGGTGGGAAGGTGGGCGCTTAAAATTAAATCCCACTTTCCTTTGCTCTGTCCTTGTCATTTCTATACAAATTGAAGCCCCCCAAGGACTGCAGGTCCACAACAGCACCACTTCCCTTGCAGAGGGGATGCCTGGGCTGTAGTGTGGGCTTGCACACGCCCCCTGCAGGCTAGCGAGGTCAAGACTGGATGGAACAACGGGCCAGGTGAAGAATGTGAACTAGGCAGCTGCAGTGCACTATGATCGCACCTATGAATGAAGAGCCATTGCACTCCAGCCTGGGCAATATAGTGAGACCCCATCTCAAAAAAAATTAAAAGAGGAACTAGGCAGCAAGAGGTCTGGGGAATGTCATCTGTCCCCATGACCTACAGCAGGTGTGCCATGCTTCCTCCTTCAACTCCACCTCAACACAACCAAACACAGAAGGTGCTGGGCTCTCTGAGAAAGGACTGCCTGTCAGGAGGTCTGTGGCCTGTGAGTCACGGCTCTGCCACTAGCTAGCTCTGAAATCCACTTCTTCTGCCTGTAAAATCAGGGATTAGGTTGGATGACATCTAAGGTTTTTATCTTAACCCTCTTCAGAAATTGCTTCATCTCATAGTCACGTGGAGAAAGAGCCAGAAGTCAATATCCCTGAATGTGGCACTTCCTGCCAACCACGACACCTTCTCCAGACTCCCATCATGTCCCAGGGAGTCCTGATCCCTGTGGGGACATAGTCTGAAATGGCCAGCTGCTGTCCTCCTTTGGCCACGGAACCTCTAGGGTTTGTGAGTGATAAGAGTAGGTCTGGAGGAGGCAGCAGGAAATGTCCTTGAGAAAAAAGATCAGGAAAATGATTTTTCCATTTAAAGGGCAATGTTTCAAATAATTTTTTAAAGCAAATGAATGTAGACACCTGCCCATTCCCAATATACAAATTCCCAAACATTTTCTTGTTTTCCAGGAAAAACAGTAAAGGGCTCAGGATAAGCTACAGTAGCAGAAATGGAGACATTTGCAAGAATACCTGAACTCTCGGAGGTGGGGGATGTGTAAATGGGTGACTGCAGGTCAATGTGGAAACCCTCTGGTGCCTCTGACGTCCATGTGTCTGCTTAGGAGGATGTACGACATGACCTCCACCTCACCCCACCCTCCGCCATGAATTCCCTTCCTGCCTGAGAATTCTACACCAGTTGAGCAAGAAAGTACAAAGGAGGACTGACTTGGCAAAATCCCATGGGGCCCTGGTGAAATGAACAGGTTTGGCAATGATTGTGTCACTATGACCCCGGACAAGTGACTTAACTTGACCATGCAAAAGCCAAGGATGTTCACATCCTGTCCCGCAGCAAAGTCTCTACACTGCAGGGAGTGAGCCCTGACCCTTAGAGGCTGACCCCAGCGAAGGAGTCAGGGAAGGTTCTTCTTCCTCCAAGTCTTACCCCAGCCTCAGCACAAGGAGGCTTTGTGATCCGGTTTTCGAGCAATACTTCCCATTTACTGGGCTGTGAACATCCCTGAGTCTGTAGTCCTGGGCTGGACAAAGGGTGAGAATCCAGACAAAGATCACAAGACAGCCATTACTGTCTGGGCCTCCCAGAATGGTGGAGGAAGCTGCCAGA
This sequence comes from Homo sapiens, assembly GCF_000001405.40. NCBI lineage: Eukaryota > Metazoa > Chordata > Mammalia > Primates > Hominidae > Homo > Homo sapiens. The sequence continues at coordinate 206,796,848 of NC_000001.11, read as the reverse complement.
CTAATGAAGGTGATATAGAACACATTAAAATACAGTCATGTGTCACTTAACGGTGGGGATATGTTCTGGGAGATGCCTTATTAGGAGGTTTTGTCATTGTGCAAACATCATAGAGTGTATTTACACAATAAGATAGGCCATACAGTAAGGCCTATTGCTCCTAGGCTACAAACCTGTACAGCATGATGCTGTACTGAATATTGCAGACAATTGTAACATGATGGTAGGTTATTTGTGTATCTAAACATATCTAAACATAGAAAAGGTATAGTAAAATACAGCATCATAATCTTATGAGACCACCATCATATATGTGGTCCATTATTGACAGACACCATTACTTGGTGTATGGCTGTAATCCTACAGGAACTCATGGGGGAAAAACAATGGTAAGTGAAAATTAACATAGTACAAGCCACCAGCCTCGTAAAGAATGGAGGATTGTGATGGCTAATTTATGGTCAACCTGACTGAATCACAGGATTTCCAGATGTCTGGTTAAGCATGATTTCTGGGTGTGCCTGTGAGAATGTTTCTGGAAGAGATTAGCATTTGAAGTTGTGGACCGAGTGAAGCAGATTGCCCCTGCCAGTGTAAGTGGGCATGGTCTGATCTACAAAGCGTAACAGTAGAACAAAAAAGTAGGGGAAAGGAGAATTCCCCTTTTCTGCCTGACTGCTTGGACTGAAACATCCATCTTCTCCTGCCTGGGAGCTTCTGGTTCTTAGGCCTTCAGACCTGAACTAGAATCTAGACCATGGGACTCTCCAACTGGCCTTCGAACTATACCATCGGCTTTCCTGGGTCTCCAGCTGCAGACAGGTGATCATGGGGCTTCTCAGCCTCCATAATCATGTGAGCCATACCTTATACCTTATAATAAATCATACACACACACACACACACACACACACACACACATATATATATTTATATTGGTTCTGTTTCTCTGGAAAATCCTCATACAAAAATGAACTGAATTAATCAAAGAAGGCTTCTTCTTGGGGAAGGTGAGTTTTAAGGCTGTTAATAGAAGGAATAAAAAGAAGGGAGTCTTTGATTCAGACACAACTGATGGAACAAGAGTGGGCTATGGGGGATAACTTGAGGGCAGGCTCTGATCCAGGAGCAGGAAGGTAAACAGTTATCCATGTGTAGTATGCAGAGGCTGTAAGAAGCTCATAGCAAATCGCCCCAAGTCTTGGGTCTGTCTGCCCATCCATAGAATGAGGAAGAAGGTAGACTAGCTAGTCTCTACAGCTCCTTCCAACTCCAGCATTCTACAGTTCACAATCCTAAAGGTGTGGGAAGGAGTCAAATGGTGAGTTGGCTTGGGTTGAGTAGAAAACAGATGGTCAGTAGGAGAGGAGTAGGCCAGGCTCTTGAGGCATCCAATCTGAGAGTAATTTAAGCATACCTGCTTGGGCTGAGCAAACTCAAACCTCATCCCTGACCAAACACCATCCAGGACTAGTTCTTATAAAGCAGCCTCAGAGCCAAAGGCAACTTGTGTATATGACAGAATACACCCAGCTGGATGCAAAGAGACTGAAATGTTCAAGAAGGTGGGCTTGGTCTAGAAAAGTGCTGCAGCTTCAAGGTGACATATCTGTCCCCTTTCACAACAGACTACTGCCCTCAGACTGTTGTCAGGCTGAACTGTACCAGCCTTGGTGGCCAGGTGTTACTGTACTTCCCAATTCTCCAGCTGGCCCTTGTGTCTGGATCTAGACTGGCCCCTATGCCTAAGCTTTTTGTGTGGAGAATGAAAGGCCCTGAAAGACACCTGGGCCAGAGCATAACAGCCAAGGTTGCTTTAGCTGGCATGGGGAAATGGAGGAAGTGTTTGGGTGATCTGCCAGGCACAAAGCAGTTTTGGGACCCCACATCCTGCCCTGAAGGATGCACTCACTGACCCTTTTCCCTGAGATTCCAATATTTTCCATCCCACAGCACTTTTGCCAATTCACATGAGTGCCATGGGCAGAAATAGGTATGGAAAGTGGGGAGCATAGCAGGATTCCAGCTTGACAAAGCACCGGGCTTGGTACAGGTCACAAAATGTGGTCCAGGGAAATCCCCAAACAGAAGTGCCCCAGATGGTTTCCCCATTACTTTGGGTAACTTTCCATTGCCACACACCCACCCCTACCCACCTCGCAGGTCTCTTCTAAAGAACCTATTGCTCACCTTGTGACTTGTCAGGCATGAGAATCAAAAGAAGCAATGAGCCCAGTTCCTGAACTTGAGAAGCTAAAATCTACGTGAGAAGATGAAACTTACACCCATGCTACAAGTAGGGAGGACCCAACAGGAGGACCCGGGGCCAACCATAGTATAAGAGCTCAGAGAGGGGGTGTCGACGTGAGCTGGAACAGTGGGAAGAGGCTTCACAAAGGAGGGACACGGGGTCATGGGAATCAGTGAATGTGTGGGAGGCAGGGCAGGAGTCATGGAACAGGTGACAGACAATGAAGTGTAAGATGTGACGGACCGTAGACAGAAATAGAGTGAAATAAACCACCACGCATTGAGTGCCTACTGTATGCCGTGCCAGGAACTTTCCATCTGTTATTTCATTTTATCCTCCCAATAAGAGCAGCAGTATCTTTATTTCCAAGTTGCAGGTGGGGAAACTGAAAGGTTCATATGAATTTAGAGTTGTTCTGGTGGCCAATGAGAAGTCTCTCCCAATGACCAAACTGGGGAATAACTTGAAGGTGATGGTGATGAAATGAGATTGGCCTGGCCATGGTGTCCAAGGTACTAGAGAACATTGCCCATCCACCACCTGAAGAGCCATGACCCAGGAGTCCCTAGATGTCTTTGGAACATTAAGTGGTGGTCTCTAACTTAGGGATCTGCCCTCTTGACTCAGGTGCTGTAACGCTAGCCTTAGCCCAGGCTTCCACCCACACCTCCCTGTCCCCACTCTCCTTCCCCTGCTACTCAGCCCCTCTTTCTTGTCAACAGGCACACTCCTCCCTAGCCCTTCGACCAGATGATGCCATTAATCACTACCAACAGTTAAGGAAGCCACCGAGGTGTTATCATAACAAGCACTCGAACTATGACTGTGACTAATCGAGTGGCGTTAGAGGTTCAGAAAGCATTAATAATTATTATAATTATTTTTTTCTGCCTCGTGTTTTTTTCTGTTGTTTGAGGTTCCAGGCATAAAATGGAGGGTGAAAGGAAGGCCCAACCTTTCTGGACTTGAGAGGATGTGCCATTTTGTTCAGCCTCCCAACCAGCCTTGCAGTGGGCAAGGGGATTGCCTGCTGCAGCCTCTTTGACTCTCCGAGCAGCACCTTGACAGAGGTCTGAGCGATGCAGGGTGAGTCAGGCCGGCTGGGGGAATCGGAGGCATTCGATCAGAGCACGACTGCCAGGCCGCACAGTCGGGGAATCCCTCAAGGGAACCAGGGGCCCATGCTGACCAAATCCAGCCCGTAGGAAAGCCCTGTCTTGCTACATGACCCCTGATTCATGGCTTTCCCCTCCTGGGGCCCAGCTCACGTGCTGCCCCTAAAGCAGCCATCACCAGCTGCCTTACATTATTTTTAAAACTGTTACCCCCAAAGTCCTCAGAGAACCAGCTCCCTGAGATGAAGAGACTGAAATGTCAGAAGCTATAAAAGTCATCGGCAGAAGTCCCCGTCGGGATTTAGCTCCAGGTATAAACCTCTGAGGATGGGGCTGACCAACCCTGAGGATTGTCAGTGGCTTGCGTGGGTGTCCCACAAGCGCATTCATGCACTCAGATGCAAATCCTTCTAACTCTAATGGATCCTGAAAGCCCTTCATTCCACAGTCATTAAAATGCAAACCATTCTTGGGGCAAGGGAACTAATATTTATTGTGGTACCTTTGTGCCAGGCACCACGAAGTACTTCATTTCAGCTAATTATATGCCAATTAGTTCCCCATAGCTCTGTTAAGGGACAGCAGAGTGTGGCCTCTGCAGCCACACTGCCCAGGATTCAATCCTGGTTCTGACACTTATCAGCTGTGTAGGCTTGGATTGGGCACATTACCTCTCTGAACTCAGATTCCTCACCTATAAGATGGGCTTAAGAGAGGTACATACATCTAGCCAGGCATAGTGGCTCACTTCCGTAATCCCAGCACTTTAGGAGGCTGAGGCGGGTGGATCATGAGGTCAGGAGATCGAGACCATCCTGGCCAACATGGTGAAACCCTGTCTCTACTAAAAATACAAAAATTAGCTGGGCGTGGTGGCATGCACCTCTAATCCCAGCTACTCGGGAGGCTGAGGCAGGAGAATCACTTGAACCCAGGAAGCGGAGTTTGCAGTGAGCCAAGATCATGCAATTCCACCCCAGCATGTGCGACAGAGCAAGACTCCATCTCAGAAAAAAAAAGGCGGGGTGGGGGGATTGTGAATGTACTAAACCACAAAGGGTCAATCAGAGCATCATGTTTTTGTCATTACACAATTTTTTCTAGGGTGGCCCTGTCAGGGAGCATCCATCACTGCTCATAAATACAGCCTTTAATGGAGGGGCAGAGGGGTATGAGGCCGTGCCAGGTTGGGAAAGGGAAGAAAAAGATGGTTAAGGAATTTAGGTCTGCCCCTGACTCAGGAACACTCAGCAATGTTCACTCAGGAAGTGGGTGGGCAGTTGGTTTGCTTGTATACTATTTCCAGGGTGGAATTTTTATGCTGTTCCCCAGGCTTTCTCAGAATCTTGGAACCAAGAGAAGGCATCTCAGACTCAGCCTTCAGAAGCCACAAATATTACCAGGATGGGGCAATTCCAGAGAAGTGGGCATCTGCCCGTGAGTGGCACTGCCCATCTTAAATGTTGGGAAAGGCAGAAGAGATGATAAATCCAACCAGCCTGGGAAGACCCAGGGCCTCCCCACCCACAGTTAAATGCACACACACACACACATGCACAGGACCAGGAACATTCCAATTTACTTAGACACCCTGTCTGGGATATTACCAGTGAAAACTACAAGTCTTTTTCTGGGATGGTGAGAGGTGCAGTTACAACCTATTTTTAAAAGTGTTCAGTTGGCCAGTTACCTTTAAGAAAACGGGGCTTTTACAGGGGGAGGAGAAAGGAGCCTCTGATGAGGGTGAAGTTTTGGTGAAGGAAACCACACTGAGGCTTTGAAAGCCAAAACGCTAGTGAGAGGCCACTGGGGCTGGGCATGGGGCACAGGAAGCTTTGGGACTGAGCACAGTGTGCAGACAGCCAAAGTCAAAACATAGGGACTGGGCATGGTGGCTCATGCCTGTAATCCCAGCACTTTGGGAGGCCAAGGCGGGCAGATCACTTGAGGCCAGGAGTTCGAGACCAGCCTGGCCAACATGGTGAAACCCCATCTCTACTAAAAATACAAAAATTAGCTGGGCATGATGGCCGGCGCCTGTGATCCCAGCTTCTCAGGAGGCTGAGGCAGAAGAACCGCTTGAACCCAGGAGGTGGAGGTTGCAGTGAGCCAAGATCATGCCATTGTACTCCAGCCTGGTCAACAAGACCGAAACTCCATCTAAAAAAAAAAAAAAAAAAACCTAAGGACCTCCTGGTCATACCCAGCAGCAGAGCTGCTGGGAATTTGCCCAGCTCCATCCTGATAATGAACAAATGACTTTCCAATTAGTCCTCTCTGTCTAACTCTACAGTTGTCCCTTGAAACAATCTCTTTCTTACCAAGAAGGAAAAGGAAAAGTTCACTCTGGCATTCTGACTGGTATCTGTTTATTGGTGGATACAACATACACGGTCCATCTTCGTATCTTGATCAGCAAATGAGGTGGTAAAACTGACCAGATGTGGGAAAGCCCCTCTGCCTAGAAATGCCTTACACACACAGGCACCACACAACAGAGAATAACTTAGCAAAAAAGAATGAAGAAAGATATCAAAGGTCATCTATCATGTCATCCTCAACTTTCTGGAATCTGTGCTAAAAGAAACCCCTATGGAATTGAGGCTCTTGCCTGCGTCCTGCCTGCACTGCCTTAGGTTGAGGCATGTGCTAAGCAGATTCTGGAGATGGTGAAAACCCTAACAACTTTCCAGCACCTCTAACTGCTTCTGCCTCCGCTAATCTGGTCCTGGGCAGTGGGGGGCAATGGGGGAAGGGGATGAGGTGTCAGAGGCCCGGACAAGTTCGTAAACCCCCAGACACCTGCCAGAGCCTTAAACTTGCGTCAGAGTCTGTCTCCACCAAAATGAAAGAAACCAAGAGTGCCACAACCAAATCACAGTAGCCGGAGTGGAAAATATAGCTCTGACACAGGCCGTTGGCTCTGGGGAAAATTCTGCCGATGAACCATACTGAGACTCAACGTTGTTTATCTTCTATAGTTGCCGAGCTTGGGTTTTTACATTTTACATTTTTTCCCTCTTTTTCTACCTGGGAGGTGCTGGGTATTTTCCTTCCCCTGCAGTAGACGGGGAAGGAATGACCATAAGCAGGCCACAATCAGAGACAGAAACAGAACGTGCCATGGGGCTCAGTTTTTTTTCTGGGATACTGAGAGGATGGCACAATGAGAGGACCGTGCCCTGATGACATTTTTCAGCCTTTTAAAAATTATTGGAAGAACCACAATGAGATACCACCTTACCCCAGCCAGAAAGGCCATTATTAAAAAGTCAAGAAACAATAGATGCCGGTGTGGAAGTGGTGAAAAGGGAACGCTTATACACTGCTGGTAGGAATGTATATTAGTACAACCTTTATGGAAAAGAGTATGGAGATTTTTCAAAAAACTAAAAGCACATTTACCACTCAATCCTGCAATCCCACTACTGGGTATCTACTTAAAGGAAAAGAAGTCACTATATATATCAAAAAGACAACTAACTGCACATATATGTTTACTGCAGCACAATTCACAATTGGAAAGATATGGAACTAACCTAAGTGTCCACCAACAAATTAGTGAAAAAAGAATGAGATCATATCCTTTGCAGGGACATGAAAGGAGCTGAAGGCCATTATCCTTAGCAAACTAACACAGGAACAGAAAACCAAATGCCACATGTTCTCACTTGTAAGTCGGAGCTCATTGATGAGAACACATGGACACATAGAGGGGAACAACATACACTGGGCCTATTGGAGGGTGGGAGGAGGGAAAGGATCAGGAAAAATAATTAATGGGTACTAGGCTTAATACCCATTAGTTATTAGTAAGACAACAAACCCCCATGACACAAGGTTACCTATGTAACAAACCTGCACATGCATCCCGAGCTTAAAAGTCGAAAAAAACTACTGAAACATAAAAAAAGAAAATATGGCATATATACACCATGGAGTACCACTCAGCCATAAAAAAGTATAAAATAATGTCCTTTGCAGCAACTTGGATGGAACTGGAGGCCATTATTCTAGGTGATATAACTCAGGAATCAAAAACCAAACACCCATGTTCTCACTTACAAGTGGGAGCTAAGCTATGGATTCACAAAGGCATAAGGGGTGGTATAATGGTCACTGGATCCTCAGAAGGGCAGGGGATAAGGGATTTAAAATTACCTGTTGGGTACAATGTTTAGTAGTTTCCAAAAAGGGAACTTCAGTGAGAAGGTTCCATAGTGTCTAATGACCCTAATGGTCAGAGCATCTTCTTCAGTTCAACAAAGATCTCTCGTACTGTACTATAAGCCCAGAGCAACCTTCATGGAATGCCAGGACTTCAGATCATCAAATCACTTTCCAGTCAGTCCTCTCTATCTAACCCTACAGCTGTTCCTTGAAACAATCTCTTTCTTTCCAAGGCGGAAAAGGAAAAGGTCACTCTAGCATTCTGACTGGTATCTGATTATTGGTGGAAACAACAGACACTGTCCATCTTTTATATCTTGATCAGCAGATGAGATGGTAAAACTGACCAGACCCAGGAAAGCTCCTCTGCCTAGAAATGCCTTACACACACAGGCACCACACAACAGAGAATAACTTAGCAAAAAGGAATGAAGAAAGATATCAAGGGTCATCTATCATGTCATCCTCAACTTTCTGGAATCTGTGCTAAGAGAAACCGCTATGGAATCAAGGCTCTTGCCTCCATCCTGCCTGCACTGCCTTAGGTTGAGACATGTGCTAAGCAGATTCTGGAGATGGTGAAAACCCTAATGCTTTTCTAGCACCTCCAACTGCTTCTGCCTCAACTAATCTGGTCCTGGGGCAGTGAGGGGCAATGAGGGAAGGGGATGAGGTGTCAGAGGCCTGGATGAGGCGCACTAAAATCCTAGATTTCACCACTGTACAGTTCATCCATGTAACCAAAAATCACTTGTACCTCTAAAGCTCTTGAGATAAAAAAAAAAAGTTAATTATTAGCGTCACATTATTTGTCTCTGCATGGAGATATGGGTAAAGGAATGAACTGATTATCAGGAGACTTGAGCCTTATTTTGCGCTACTATAAAATAGATTCAATGATTGGATCAAATCTTTAGATTGTTGTAAAACTTAAAATGAAACAATATGAAGTGTCTTGTATATAGTAAGACATCAAAGAGCAATAGGGGAAACCAACTAAGACAGGTAGTAGTTTGCCATTGGCCTTGCTTGGGGTCTAGGGCTTGGGTCAGGACATGTCTTAGTCTATAGCATATGGTGGGCACACAGTATACAGTATCAGATAGCTGGCATCAGTTAGTCATAGAACAGCTGCAAAGAGTCACACACGCACACACATGTGAGCACACTCACACAACAGATAAGATTGCTCAAGCCACCTCCGGGATCGTGAAGATGAATAAGAGGTCTGCAGACCAGTGTGTTTCCCCAACCATGTCACAAGGAAGGAAGGTCCACAGGGTCCCCAGGAACTCTGGGCAGAGGGGGATTTTAGAAGGAAGCTTGCTGAAAAACACGGATTCCCATGGCTATGAATGTGGCTGGTGGAAAGGAAAGCGAGACCTGATGGGGCTGCACCACATGGTGCAGTGGAAAGGATAACGCAGCCCAGGAAAAGATTGTGTAGCTTGGTGGTATGTGGCATGGCTGGAGAGGAGAAACTCCTGGATCCTAGTCCTACTGCTGGTTCTGAGAAAAGCCACCAGAGCCTCCCTTCTTGAGTCAAAGACAAGACCACAGAGGGGCTCTTTCATGTATTTAGCTATTTTATGGCTTTAAAGTATTTCAACCTATTGACAAATCTCTTTGATCCTCTGTAAAGCAGGAGAAAGAACTGAGGAGTCTCTCCATTTCACAGAGACAGAAATCAAGACTCATTGAAGGTGGAAGACATCTCCACAGTCACACAGAAGAAAGACCGAAACCCAGGCCTCCTTTTCCCGGACCTAGGTCTTTACCATTTGAGAATCGTAAACCTGTGCCTTAGTCAAAATGAGCAAAATATTCACACCAAGCTAGACTGCATCTCCTCTCTATCTCTGGCATATATAAAACATGTGTCCAGTCCACAGGGATGAAATACACACAATACACCCACACATATGCATATGTGCACACATGCATCCATGCAGGCAAAGACATCTCACAACTCTAAGGCAGGGTACACAAAGTACTGCCAAGGATGGTCATAAGCACTGGAGGATTTTTTTAAAAATGAAATCTCAGTGGAGTCAGGTTGTTAAAGGAAGGCTCATGGAAGAGGCAGTGCTGAATTGAAAGAATTCTGTTGGTGAAAAGGAAGGGTGGTCATTGCAGGCCAGTGAAGCCATGAGTGGAAGTAAGGACGTGGGAGAGCACAGGGCATATTCTGACAATAGTGAGAGCCCCCGTGTTTTGGTCAGAGATCTTGTGGAGAGAACCTGTGGGAAGGAAAGCTGTGAAGGCATTTGGGAGTGCAAATGTCAAGCTAGGTTGGGCTGTGTTCTGAAAGCCCTGGGCTTTGTGAGAGTGGAGTTTTGCTGATAAAATGAGTGCTTTGAAAAGTGAACCTGGCTTGGTGGTTTGGAAAAACTAAGACTTTAAGAATGCGTTCTGTTCTCCGGTGGCTTGGGGGCTGGAGAGCAGAATTTAACATGTTAATTTGTTGTTCTCAGAATGTTGATGGCAGTAACTACAGCTGAATAAACCTCCATGTGGCCTTTAGCTCAGCTAGGCTGGGAAGTACTGGGGAGAAGGGTGAGGTCAATATGAAGAGCTCAGCATCCCTTGCACCATTTCCACAGGCCCGCACCTTGGTTACAGTGGCAATAGCAGCCTCAACCTCAATTTTCCCACCACTGCAGCCAATAGAGAAGCAAGTTCTGGCTCAACGTGGGCTGCTGCAACTCAGTCTCTCCTCCTCCCCTCCTGTTTACTCTAAAGCCCTCTGATTTTACCTGAAATGAAACAGCAGCCCCAGCTATGGTCACAGTGACCAGAAGCTCCTGCTTCCCACTCCACCAAGAACCTTGCCTTGTAGTCCCCAGCCAACCCTCACTCACACAGAAAGGACTGTGGGGACACTAACTCTCCCTCCACTTGCACCAATCTTTGGATGTTCAGTCATTTCAGGAAGCCCAGAAGAGAAAGAGAAATTGTGGTGATATCAACAGTCATAGCTGTCGTGATAGTACTGGCCGTAGTAGCTGTAGTAGTCTCAGTACAGTTACAGTCATTGCAGAGTAAGCAATGGCTTGTCAGGTAAAAGTCATTGAGTGCTTGCTATAAACCGTGCACTATGACAAGCATTTTTCCCATTTTTTTCTCATAGCCAGCAGGTAAGTATCATTATGTTTTCCATCTTACAGATATGATAGGGTATCTTTGGTAAAGATGTACATGGGATTCTGGATTCCAATGGCAGAGCTTTGGTGAGGCCAGCTTGCTCATGATACCCTCTAAGGATGTCCTATATCCCTCCCCTTTCACTTCCCCACCCCAAGTCCCCGTCACCACCCCTCCCTAACACACAGTTTACATCCTGTGACCCCTTTGACCAGATATATGTTTATACACTTCGGTGCAGGTAGCTTTCCAATTTTGTACAGATGTCTGTAAGTCACTTTTTTGGAAACTGGAGCAACATCTCTGTAGAAACTCTACTTATAAATGTTGATTCATTCACAGCCTACAAAGCAGGGGTTACACTATAAATAGGACCAAACTTAGTTCAGGTTCTTGGGAGCTGGGGGTCTATGAGATTTACAAAGGACAGCTTCTTTCTCCTACTGGACATATGAACAGCCTCAGGCAACATCTGAAATAGTCGAGGTCGTCTTGGGTCAACTTCTGTCACACTCTGCTCCCTCTCCCTGGCTGCCCTCTCTGGAGGTCCCTCTGCACTTTCCCCTCTGAGGGGCTGTAAGCCCTCCATTGAAATGCTAACCTTCTGCTCTGCTTAACCACATGCTCCCAGATGACCTACTCTCCTCCCCACCTGTCCCAGCTCACAGATCAGCCCCACAGGAACTCAGCTTCCAGGATTAGAACCACCCAGGGATTTCAGTGTTATTTTCATGGCTTCTTTCCCACCACTGTATTTGACCTCCTGACTCTCTAGAAGTTGCTGGTGATTTCGTAAAGGATTTCTCACAAGCACGGTTAAGGAAGTGCCAATGGTTGCCACTCAAGTCCATAGAAAACAGGCACTTCTAAATTGGGGGTGGTGTATGTGTTCTTTTGCATTATATATATGTTTGTGTTCCATGGGTCTTCAGTCTACCTGAAGTCTACCTGCATGGACCCTCCTTCAAGGATCCAAGAATCTGCTGATCCAGAGCCTGCATGACCCGAGTATTCATCCACAGTGGTTTTCACAGGGGTCAGATATCCTGTTTCTAGCACTGGCCATTCCTCCCTGCCTGCTCGCCTTTTCCCATGGGATACAATGGAGGCATTGGGGGACTTTAATACTTCAAAGCCCGTAGCAGCTGGCAACTCCTGGGACTGAACCAGCACCCAGACTGGCCTCACTGTGCTCTGCCACGGGAATCCAGGATCCCATGGTCACCTCTCTCAAGGGAATTTATTATCTGAGTCCCACGTCAGGAGCCAAGTACACCAACAACACTTCCTCCTCGGCATAGGCCTGCGTCGCGCAGGCATCAACGCAACACAGACATTTTACTGCGTGGTGCAGATAATTGCTTGAGAACGCAAAGTTCTTTCTGAAAGAGATGTGAAGCGCTTTCTAGGGCTTTCCAGTAATCTTCTTTTCTCCCTGAAACAGTCAATGTGAGAAATCCACTTCCGGAAGGTGACCACCTCCCTTCCACACCCCCGCCGCCCCCGGGGCCATGCTCTTGAGGAAAAGGCAGCATCACGTCCTCCCCTACCAAGTGGAGGCTCTTCTGATTTCCACTGCTCTCAGCAGGCCTGACTCACAACGAAACTGCAACCTCAAAGTGCTGGGGGCCAGGATTGCGAGAAGGAAATACAGGTGAACACACGCAAAAGCTGCCGGAGGAAAAGGTTTTGTTTCTCTTACAGAATGGCACTTCCAGGGCTGGGCAGAAGCTATGAGCTAGAAGAGGCTGACAGGGCCTGGTCTTGTGCTGACCTGGTGGATTTGGAAAGGAAGGAAAATATGTATCAGAACCACTCATGTTCGCTCGCTCCTGCCGAGGGGAACAGAAGGGGCAGGCTGGGAGGAGAGATAGGGGAATCACAAAATTTAAGGGCATTAGCTTTGGAAATCTTCTTAGAAAAACAACTCTGGCAAGCCCTTGGATTATTGATGCGGAAAGCAAGGCCAAGGGATGAAAAGGAACTTGTTTGGGATCTCATAGTAGAAGGTCCAGGGCTGGAAACTAGGCCTCCTAAATGCCTGAGCCAGTCAGTCTTTCTACTATGAGACTGACTTCTCTGTCTCCCTGTAACATCCTCAGAATATTGGAGTTGAAATTGGTCTGTTCCAAGTCTTCAGATCCACGAAGAGACATACTTAGCTTTTAGCAGCTGAGTATTCCCAAGGAAAAACATCAACCACTACACTTCAGGTGGGCTGGCTACTTGCTGTATGTCAAGTATTCATCCAAGCATTGTGTACAGTCACTCATTCCGCCCTTGCAACACTACGACAGCACCAATTATCATCTCCAATTGTATATAGATACTGCCGCACAGGGAGGCTCAGAAACTTGCCCAAGGTCACACAGATGGGAAAGGGCAGAGCTGGGTTGCAAACCCAGTCCGACTCCAGGGCCCGCACACTTAACCACCATGCTCTGCTGCAAAGACAAGCCCAAAGACAGAGCACATCTTGGGGTTTCCAATAACAGAACACTTGGACCCAGGGTAGGGCTGGGGGTTGAGCAAAGTGGGGAAGGCACTTCCAGCCTTTGCTGTCAGAGGTATATAAGGTCTGCCACATAAGAGAGGCTCAAGTGCACAACCCTTAGCCGCTTTCGTGAAACCAGTTGACTACCTGATACCAATTTATATCCAACCCACTGCTTGAGGCACCTGAATTCAAGGTTCTTGCTGGGAACAGTCTCAGATCACCCAAAAGCCAAGGTACAAACAGATTCTCCTTAATTACTTGAAAGAATAATACTGTTTAGAAAGTATTCCTTGTATTTTAAGTATTTTAATCTTAAAAAGAATACTTTTAAAATCATCAAAAGAGTATCAGAACCTTGTTGGGCCTCCTTAAACTATTTTGAACTACATCTGAAGGTCGAGACAACTTAGGGCCTCTGGAGTTCTTAGTCCAGCACCCTGGGAAAAGGAGTTTCTTTTTCCCCTCCTTCTATAGATGGTCTCCCACAATCAGGTGGGCAACCAGGGATTGAGCTTTAATATGACCACACAATGTCTGACCCAGTTCCTAAAAGGGTGCCCTCCTTATAAAATGATTTCTAAGTTCACCAGAGCACTTAGAGCTCACCTACTGTGTGTGCCAGGCAAATCTGCATGGGATGAGACGAGAATGGCAAGCCAATGATATTGATTTAATTGGACAAATTCTGGCCAGTGGGGCTAGGAAATGTCTGTTTTTATTTTCAATGTTGTTCTAAAAACTGAGAAAGCACAAGAGTTACCAAAGACTAAGCAGGGTTTTTAATGCCCCTTAGAATTAAAGAGGAGGGAGAGAGGAGAATAAAAGGCAGAAGAAGAAAGCAGAGCCCAAAATAAGCCTGCAGTAGAGCCTGTCCAACAGCTCTGTGCCCCTTGACCACACCCAGCCTCTAGAACCTAGTCCTAGGCCTGGGGCCCCTTGGAGAAGGGGTTTACAGTAATGACAGGTCACTGGCAAATCAACCCCAGAACTCCCATGGGTTTTGACTTGAAACCACAAACACCGCTTGTGAGGCACTGTAGCTTCCGTGACATGTGAGAGGCTCACAGGAGCTGCTAAACTGAAAGACCACCCTGGCTATTTGGAAACTCTGAATAAAGAATACAGCAGTAGGCTTCTCCCTTGTCTACCCAAGCCAGGTGCCCTTTGGGTACATCCTCTGCACCTGCCTCTGAGGCCACACTTTGATCATTCTCCTCCTACTTGTCCTCACCCAGAGATTTCTGTGAAACACTTACAGCATTCATTCTCTAAGGGTGGTCTGAGAAACCCTGAGAGGTCTTCCCTTTTCCAGGGGAAAATTCTTATGCTCCAACTAAAACGGCATATTACAACAGACCGCATGTAAGAGCAGTTGTGAGGATCCTGCTTCTATCAAGCCAGAGAGTTAAAAATGCTTGGAAAAAAATGCAGAACACTGCCACTCTTCTCACTAAATGTGTTTTGGTTTGGAAAATAGTTACATCTCATTTAAAAATGCCATGTTAACATGTAAGGGTTTATTATTGTTTATGACTTTAAAAAGATGTCATAGGAGGTATTTTTAAAAATTTATCAGTTTTACTTTCTAATATGATAAATGTTTACACATATATGTATATATAACTATATACATATATATGTATATATAACTATATACATATATATGTATATATAACATATACATATATATGTATATATAACATATACATATATATGTATATATAACTATATACATATATATGTATATATAACTATATACATATATATGTATATATAACTATATACATATATATGTATATATAACTATATACATATATATGTATATATAACCCACATAAGTGAAAGCTCTTTGGGGGTCCTCTATAACTTTGAAGATGTAAAAGAGTCCTGGATCCACATAGTTCGCCAACAGCTGACTTAGGGAACCGGGGGCAAGGCTGGACGCAGTTGCTCGCACCCACTCCCTTTCCCTTCTCCCTTAGTCTATGAGCTAAGAGGGGCACATGTAAATGACAGTCATAGTGGAAGTAGCATGAATCCAGGGTGGGAGGAAGCAACTGCATCTTCATGTGTGATGCAGCTGTGCATCCAAAATGCACAAAACACACGGAGTATGGGGAGGATTGAGAGTCAGTGGCACGTTTTAGAGGTAAGGACCAGAATGGGCAGGATGATGTCCTTCTGAGCAAAGTGCTCAACTTCCTCCTCTCTCTCTTTTTTTTCTTTTTTTTTCTTTTTTTTTTTTTTTTTTTTTTTTGAGACAGAGTCTTGCTCTGTCGCCCAGGCTGGAGCACAGTGGCGCGATCTCTGCTCACTGCAGCCTCAGCCTCCCAGATTCAAGTGATTCTCCTGCCTCAGCCTCACCACGCCCAGCTAATTTTTGTATTTTTAGTAGAGACAGGGTTTCACCATGTTGGCCAGGCTGGTCTTGAACTACTGACCTAGTGATCCGCCCATCTCGGCCTCCCAAAGTGCTGGGATTACAGGCGTGAGCCACCGCGCCTGGCCCCTCTCCTCTCTTTTATAAGGTTTCTGGAAGGTGTTGCTCCTGTAGGGGTACTGCAGTGGGAAGGCAGGCCAAACTATGCTTTATAACACTGTGACACTCATGGATCAGAGACAAAATAGAAACACCATTCTGTCTGAAAACACTCCAAGGCAGAAATCTTCCCCTAAGACAAAAATATCTAAGCCACCCTCACTATCATTCCCAATTCCTAAACTTAAGGTACCCAAGGAGTACAAAATAGATTCATAACTGTTTAATGGATGGAAACTTATTGTCACAGACTTTCAACTTCTTACCACCACAACCTCACACACCGAACACATCTTAGACAGCTGCCCCTAATTGTTGCTGCAGGCCCAGAGAACCCAGAGTGATTTGATACTTACATGAGTAAAGGAATTAGGTACTGATCTGAAAAAGAATTGCATTCAGATTCTACCTTTGCCATTAACTACCTCTAGGACCTGGGAAAGTCTTCTTCTCTAGGCCTCTGTTTGCCCATTTATAAAAGAAGACACGTGAATTTGATAAGACCCCCTCTTCTTCTGACGTCCATATAGAATTTTAACATTCCAGCAGCCATGGAGGAGTTAACATCCGCCTGGAAGAGCACTAATTAGTAATCAGATCAATTCTTTTAAAAACTGGAAAAGCTATAATAGGTATAGGCATATAGTTTGTAAGGACAGTGGTTTCTTCAGATGAATCCATTCTCTACTTCTACTTTATAAGAGATGGAAGAACAGACATATAGCCATGTAGCACTACAAAAAGTTTAGGAAGCACATGCTCAGCCGCCCAGTCAGCCAACAAATATTTAGTGAGAACCTTGGATGTGCCCAGAACCATGCTGAGTACTGAGCAAACAACACTCATCAAAAACAGATACAGGCCCTGCCCTCGAAGTGGTCACAGTCTCACAGGAGAGACAGAGGTCAATCAAATGATCACATAGCCACATGTCTAATTACAAACTGACATAAATACTACAGAGGGGTGGGAGCAAGGTGTTCTGAGAAGATACACCCAGGGGGCCTGACCTAGACTGGGGAATGATGAACTCATTTAAGGAAGGAACATCTGAGCTGAGAGCTGAAGGATGAAGACAGGAGGAGAGCAGGAAGGGAGAACTAAATGTGCAAAGGCCCTGTGATAGGAGAGAGAGGGGATAAATCACTGGGCATAGTGGCTGGTGCAATGTAAGCCCAGCCACTTGGAGGCTGAGGCAAGAGGATTACTTGAGCCTAGGAGTTCAAAAACAGCCTGGGCAACATAGCAAGACCCTGTCTCTTTAAAAAAAAAAAAAGAGAGAGAGAGAGCATGCGGATCATTTGAAAAAAAAGAAGAAGAAAGTCAATGAGGCTGGAGTGCAGAGGGAAGTAGAAAGTGAAGAGTGCCGCAAGTTGAAGCAGAAGAGATAGGCAGTGTCAGATGATAAAGGAAGTTATAGAAAACATTAGAATATGAGTCCTTATTTGACCAAGAGAGGGAAAGTGGGAAGCCATGGAAGGGTTCAAGTAGCAACAGAGTCATGATCAGATTGGTGCTTGGAAATAATTACTCTTGCTACAACGTGGAGAACGGTCTAGAGAATGGATATTAGAATAACAATTTGGCATTTATTTTGGAGTCCAGGAGAGATGAGACAGTGTTGGGGTGATTAGACCCAACACTAGGCCATGGGGGCTACAAAGTCCAGCAGAGTCAAAGGAATGAGAAAAGACAAGTTAAGGGTGCATAAAATGGGTCCAGTGGGCCAACACTGGTATGGAGGCTGCAAAGGCCCTGAGCTCTGGGAGCCCACACTATTTATTGGTGATCAAACAAAGAAGCAGGTGGTGAGGACGTGGGGGTAAACAGGTGAGGGCGTGAGGATGTGGGGGTAGAAAGGTAGTGGTGCATCAAGCATAGCTGTGATGGTTTAGCATTTTCTTTGACACATATAGAATATGCTCTGCTGCTCAAGATAATGGAGAGCATGTTTACGAGCCTGGGAGAGCAACCAACAAGTCTGTGCACATTCCATCCAAGCCACGAGGGATTTTATGCCCTGGGCTTAGATTTGTGGTGCAGCAGGGCAGCCTTCTACCCTTTGGCACAGAGCTTGGTGTTCCAAAGGCCACGAGCGGTTTTAGACCCTGGACCCCGGACATCTCCCAAGACTCTTTTATATTATGACAGACAAGCCAGTCCTGCCTCAGCTCTTCTACCAACAGATAGTAGCTTGAACCAGACAGTCATTGCTGGTGATGATGGAAATGGAGACAAATCAGTAGATTAGAGAAATGTTTATGAAGAAAAATGTGGAGGTTCTGGTGATAGATTGAACATAGATTGGCAAGGAAGAGGGAGGGACCAACAAATCATTTCTAGAGTTAATTGATAGTTCCATTTACTGAGCGAGGGTGCACTGGATGAAGGTGAAACCAGAGAGAGATGATTTTACTCTCAGATACAGAATCAACTACATAAATTGGCAGGGGAAGACAGTACAAAATAAAAATGTGGAACCCCCTGCTCAACAGTTATTGAGAATTTCAAGATGGTGGTAGCAGAGTAAGGGGAGGACTTTTTTAGTCATGGGACCCTGTGTGACTGCAGAAGTCACTTATCTACAAACCCAGCCCTGCTTGGATATGTTGGGTTGGAGGTGCCAGCCATCCAGTGGAGACTGGAGCAAACTAAAGCGCACCAGAGGGACAGTCCTGGAGCTAAAAGAATCCATTTGTGCCCCACACTCAGGAGCCCACTAGTTATCCTAGGTAGTCATGCAGACAGAGCAGAAACAACTATGGTCCTCTGGGTGGCCAAGGCTCAAACACCTGGTGTCCTGGTCCCTGATAAGCCAAATTTCTCATATGAGAAGTTACAGAGCACAGTGTCCATCCCCTAAGGAAAATCCAAATTGCCTGATTTGGTGCCATAGTTGCACAAAGGGGAATTCCACATTGGCTGCCCAAAGATCAGCCCTTCCGCTCATCTGTGGTTTGCAGTGTCTGCCGGCCATGATCCTCGGAAGGGCGCTTAATCCGGTTTGCATAACCCTTGTTCCATTCCACCTAAGGGCCAGCCCCAGCCCGGGCTCCTCTTAAACTTCTGGCCCACCAGGCGTTTATTCTGAAGTACCCCAGACACTATCAAAGCCAATGTCAGGAAAGCCCAGAGGAATACAGTGCTCACAGACTCCTGTCTCCTTGCACCCCAAACTGGCCACACTTTGGGTGTGTGATAGGCATTGGGGTCTGTTGCAGCACAGCTTCTGAGGAAGCCTCTGTCCTAGGAGCTGAGGAAGCTTATTCGAGGGAATACTAGAAATTTCAAGCTGGCAAAGCTATTTTACACACTAAATGTCCTGGATAAGAAGAAATGAAACTCCCGTTATCAGCTTTAAAAAATAACTACTAATGGCAAATAGGAGTCAAGCCCGGAGGGGCTTCTTCATCAGGACAGTTGTCACCCATCCCCAAGATGGGCACGGTCTCACCTTCTCTGCCTGCATCGTCAACCTGCCTGCTCTCTGCCGGCTGACCGTGTTGCCCAACAAGCTGTCTAAACCCAGAGTCCAGCAAGCCCGGATCCCTGAACCTTCCCTCTGCAGCTCCAGAGCCACCCTCACAAGGCTGCTAGCCTGCTCCCCACTCTTGGGTTTGAGCTGCAGAATTGCAGTAAGGCATGGGGTAACTACACCAAGAAGGCTGCCATTTTGCTTAGCATGAGAGTAGCTGGGAGGCAGATTCTTTTTTTTTTTTTTTTTTTGAGACGGAGTCTCGCTCTGTCGCCCAGGCTGGAGTGCAGTGACGCGATCTCGGCTCACTGCAACCTCCGCCTCCCAGGTTCACGCCATTCTTCTGCCTCAGCCTCCCAAGTAGCTGGGACTACAGGCGCCAACCACCACACCTAGCTAAATTTTTTTTTTTTTTTTTTTTTTTTTTGAGACGGAGTCTCGCTCTGTCGCCCAGGCTGGAGTGCAGTGACGCGATCTCGGCTCACTGCAAGCTCCGCCTCCCAGGTTCACGCCATTCTCCTGCCTCAGCCTCCCGAGTAGCTGGGACTACAGGCACCTGCCACCACGCCCAGCTAATTTTTTCTATTTTTAGTAGAGACAGGGTTTCACCGTGTTAGCCAGGGTGGTCTCAATCTCCTGACCTCGTGATCCGTCCACCTCGGCCTCCCAAAGTGTTGGGATTACAGGCGTGAGCCACCGTGCCCGACAAGGGAGGCAGATTCTTTTTTTTTTTTTTTTTTTTTTTTTTGTAGTTGCAAGATTTAATACAGTGAAAACAGAGCTCCCATACAAAGGGAAGGGACCCAAAGAGGGTAGCCATTGCCGGCTTGGATGCCCGGGTTTATGTCCCGATCATTGTCCCTCCCGCTGTGCTCTCAGGCGATAGATGATTGGCTATTTCTTTACCTCCCGTTTTTGCCTAATTAGCATTTTAGTGAGCTCTCTTTACCACCTGATTGGTCGGGTGTGAGCTAAGTTGCAAGCCCCGTGTTTAAAGGTATATGCGGTCACCTTCCCAGCTAGGCTTAGGGATTCTTAGTTGGTCTAGGAAATCCAGCTAGTCCTGTCTCTCAGTCCCCGCTCTCAACAGGAAAACCCAAGTGCTGTTGGGGAGGTTGGCCGATGACTGCTCTAATGGGAGGCAGATTCTTTATAAGATCTTGTAAACTGTAGAATGCACCCTCCAAAATCTATTTGCATAAGCACACACACACACACACACACACACACCCCAGCAGTTCTTGCCTGCCCAGATTCCTCTGCAGCTAAAGTGATGAAACTTACTGGGCGGAGCTTCCTAAAAAGATTATTAGGGTCTCCTGGGTTGGTGTGCCTTTAAACCTTTGGACTTTACCACCTCCTATCTCTCCTATCTCCTTGCAACAAAGGTTAGGAGAACAAGAATGCAGAAAAAACGGGTCCTGGATGACATCTGAGTGCCTGCTTTGGGCTTCTTGATGAGTGAGACAGAAAATAAAATACAACCCCCTCTTTTAAAAGCCATGCTTACTCAGGTTTTCCTTCATTTGCAGCTAAATACAGAAATGAGAGAATATTTTGGAGCAGGGATGGAAGAAGAGAGGTATTCCCCTTCCCACAACCTTCTGATTTCCCAGTACATCCCCCACTGGAAAAATTCATTTAAAATCAGTATAATAAGCATTGATTAGATGCCTACTATGCATCTGGGCTTGAGGGCAAACTGGACTCAGGCCTTTTGGCCTCAAGAAGCTCACAGTGTGAGAGTGGCATTTGTGTCCTCTTGAAATTCACAGGACTAAATTGTGCCCAGGCTGACATTCTATCCATCCATAGGTGCCTGCCTTCTCACTTCCCTCTCTTCATGGGCTCTTGCCTTGTACCAAAATCCAAACCCAAATCTCCTCACATGTGAGTGTTGGCATTCATGTCTCAGACATGACCTATGGGCTTGGGACTTTTCCCCGTGGACCCCAGTGACTTTTCAGATGAACAGGTATCTTCAAAAACTTGAGAAATAGGAGTCCTGTTTGTTGTTCTTGTTGCTTTGTCAATATAAGGACACAGGGTCTTTATTCAAATGTTCATATCTATCTCTTGACAGAAATACTATGAGACATATTGATGGAGAAGCCGTTATCTCCATATGCTAAATGAGGACTTGCACCAGGGAACTTGCCCATGGTTCTCTCCAACCACTTAAATTCTGAAATTTTGAAATGAGAGTGGACAGTAATTTCAAATCAATGGGGAAAGAATCAAATCTTCAGCAAATGGCTTGAGATAATTAGCTACACATTTCAGAACAAATAAAGAAGTCAGATCCGGGCCGGGCACAGTGGCTCATGCCTGTAATCTCAGCACTCTGGGAGGCCAAGGCGGGCGGATCATAAGGTCAGGAGATCGAGACCATCCTGGTTAACACAGTGAAACCCCGTCTCTAATAAAAATACAAAAAAAAATAAAAAAACTTAGCCGGGCGTGGTGCCAGGCGCCTGTAGTCCCAGCTACTCGGGACGCTGAGGCAGGAGAATGGCTTGAACTCGGGAGGCAGAGCTTGCAGTGAGCTGAGATCATGCCACTGCACTCCAGCCTGGGCAACAGAGCGAGACTCTGTCTCAAAAAAAAAAAAGAAGTCAGATCCTAACCTCAACCCTATTTAACAGATTATAGATGAAAGAAAGGTACAAATGGCTTTTACATACCTCCCTTCTCCCTGACATTTTGTATGTGTGTGTGTGTGTATTTACACACACATCTCATATAAGGAAATTGAAGGGAGGCTGCCTGCATCCCTGAGTCACTCTCCCTCTCCTTCTGAATGCTTACCTGTGCCCAGACCACCTCCTTAGCCTCGCACCCTCCAGGCTTACAGGGCACTCTTCTATGCCCATCCCAAGTATAGCTGATACCTTCCAAGGGCCAGACTTGGTGCTAAGTACCAAGTACGCAAAGATTAATAAAACAATGTCCTGTTTCAGGGAGCTCAAAGCTGATTCGGCAGGGCATGGTGTGTACATGAATGATAACCACGTAGGGTTGCAGGTTTCCTAGTGAGGTAAGCACAAGGCAAGATGGGAAACAAAGGAAGGAGGGGTTCACAGCCTCACCCAGAGTCCAGAACCCCTGGCCTGCCTGGTGCCCATGCTGAGTCCACTTCTGGAACACCCAGCTCAGAGAGGGGGTTAGACCTGCAGGCTAACACAGACACAGCCCAGAAAACCCAGGAGCCGAGGGGGAAGGAGAAAGGTGCAAGAAGGGGAAACCCAGGTCCTGGTCCCCTTCTCTCTGCTTCCTGGCAGCAGAACTCAGACAGAACCCTTAAGCCAGTCTAAGTCTGGCAGGACCAGTAAGTTCTGAGTTAGCTCCATACTAGTTTCTAGCAGGCTCTTTCTCACTTCCTGATTCTTAGGTTTCTACATTGACACTCCCTGAAGAGTTGGGAAGAGACACCACAGTCCCCTGACCCTGATCCATAGGTCACACAGCAGGGACATCCACAGGGTGGGCGTGGGCCCTCTCATCCCTCCCTCCCACTCACTTCACGCTGGCTGGGCCCCAAGGTGTTTGCACCCCTTGCAGTGAGTGACCTTCTCTAGTGCAGCAAGCTCAGAACCTGCTGCCACTGGAGTTGTCCCATTGCTGATGCAGAAAGGTGAAGAACTAGCAGAACACTGGAAATGCCCTCCATCTGGGTCCATGGCTACTTAAGCTCAATGCTCCCTGGCAGGCAGGAGGACAGGTGCTATTGCCCTGTTGGGACAGATGAAAAACAGACACAGGGAGGATGAGTGATTTGCCCTGACTATAGAGTGGCAGGGCCAAGGCAGAGCCCAGGCCTCCTGCACCTAGGTCAGTGTTCCTCCCAGTTACAGTCTAAACTGGAATGGCAGGCAAAGCCCCTGTGGAAGGGGAAGGTGAAGGCTCAATCAAAGGATCCCCAGAGACTTTCCAGATATCTGAAGAAGTCCTGATGTCACTGCCCCGGTCCTTCCCCAGGTAGAGCAACACTCCTCGCCGCAACCCAACTGGCTCCCCTTACCTTCTACACACACACACACACACACACACACACACACACACACACACACAAATCCAAGACAACACTACTAAGGCTTCTTTGGGAAGGGGAAGTAGGGATAGGTAAGAGGAAAGTAAGGGACCTCCTATCCAGCCTCCATGGAATCCTGACTTCTTTTCCTTGTTATTTCAACTTCTTCCACCCCATCTTTTAAACTTTAGACTCCAGCCACAGAAGCTTACAACTAAAAGAAACTCTAAGGCCAATTTAATCCAAGGTTTCATTCTATGTGCTGGAGATGGTGTACAGTAGGGTGAGGAAACCAAATTCTCAGTTGGCACTGGTGTACCCTTGTACAGGTGATGTAATATCTCTGTGCCTCAGTTTGCTCACTATAAAATAGAGACGGTAGGGGTCATGGTGAGCACTACCTGACTAGCATATAAGAAGCTTTCAGCAAGTGCAGACTACTCTTACCCACTTCCCCCAAGCACAGTTGGGGTGGGGGACAGCTGAAGAGGTGGAAACATGTGCCTGAGAATCCTAATGAAATCGGGGTAAAGGAGCCTGGAACACATCCTGTGACCCCGCCTGTACTGTAGGAAGCCAGTCTCTGGAAAGTAAAATGGAAGGGCTGCTTGGGAACTTTGAGGATATTTAGCCCACCCCCTCATTTTTACTTGGGGAAACTAAGGCCCAGAGACCTAAGGTGACTGCCTAAGTTAGCAAGGAGAAGTCTTGGGTATTCATCCCAGGTTGGGGGGACCCAATTATTTCTCAATCCCATTGTATTCTGGAATGGGCAATTTGTCCACGTCACTGTGACCTAGGAACACGCGAATGAGAACCCACAGCTGAGGGCCTCTGCGCACAGAACAGCTGTTCTCCCCAGGAAATCAACTTTTTTTAATTGAGAAGCTAAAAAATTATTCTAAGAGAGGTAGCCCATCCTAAAAATAGCTGTAATGCAGAAGTTCATGTTCAACCAATCATTTTTGCTTACGATGCAAAAATTGAAAACTAAGTTTATTAGAGAGGTTAGAGAAGGAGGAGCTCTAAGCAGAAAAAATCCTGTGCCGGGAAACCTTGATTGTGGCTTTTTAATGAATGAAGAGGCCTCCCTGAGCTTACAATATAAAAGGGGGACAGAGAGGTGAAGGTCTACACATCAGGGGCTTGCTCTTGCAAAACCAAACCACAAGACAGACTTGCAAAAGAAGGCATGCACAGCTCAGCACTGCTCTGTTGCCTGGTCCTCCTGACTGGGGTGAGGGCCAGCCCAGGCCAGGGCACCCAGTCTGAGAACAGCTGCACCCACTTCCCAGGCAACCTGCCTAACATGCTTCGAGATCTCCGAGATGCCTTCAGCAGAGTGAAGACTTTCTTTGTGAGTATGATTCCTTCCTGTCCTTTCTCTCTTCCTGGGACTGCCTGAACTAGACATTCTCCTGGAACTATAAGAACCCTCCTCCTGCGCCTCCACCTCCATCCCCAACACCTATTCCCCCAAACTTAAATTCTTAAGAGAATCCTAGATCAAGCCATGGGTTTGGTGAGTTAAGCTAAGCCAGATGATACAGTAAATGTGCAGGAAACCTGCCTTATAAAGTAAATGCGTTCTCTCTCGTGCTGAGAAACTTATAAGATCCTGCTGGCGCTCTATACTTTATTGGCTAGGAGAAGTAAAGAAATGTCTGATTCGAGGTGAAGATGCTCCCCATGCCTTGCAGCAGGGAAATTTAAATTGCCTCTGCTTAGAGCGTTTCCAGACCTGAAAGACCAGTGGTTTAGGGAAGCACTCTACATGAGGGAAACCTGCATTAGAAGGAGCTTCTTAATCCCTGGGATCTTTCCAAGCTAAACTGGATGTCTACAGTGGGGAGAAAGAAAAGCAGAGAACAGGACATGAGGGGGGCTCAAGGCCCCGAAGGGTTGACATAGGTGTCCCTTAAAGCCGAATGTAGCTCCGCAGAAAGAAGACCAGGACTGAGTCAAGCTTCTGCTTTCCCTTCAAAATCGGCCAGATTTTTTAAATAACTTGACTCTGAGGAGGAGGACCTGATTTAAGTGATGGTCCCATCACTGTTGAATCCTCTGTTTTTAAAACTCCCCTTTTGATTTTTTTGGGCCAGAGCCAATTTTATTTAAAAAAAAAAATCTCTAAATGAAAGGGCATCAAAAAGACCGCATTTCAGTTATTTCCCCAAACCTCAAGTTCATTCTCCTTTTGTTCTTCCTGCAGCAAATGAAGGATCAGCTGGACAACTTGTTGTTAAAGGAGTCCTTGCTGGAGGACTTTAAGGTGAGAGCAGGGGCGGGGTGCTGGGGGAGTGTGCAGCATGATTAAGGGAAGGGAGACTCTGCTTCCTGATTGCAGGGAATTGGGTTTGTTTCCTTCGCTTTGAAAAGGAGAAGTGGGAAGATGTTAACTCAGCACATCCAGCAGCCAGAGGGTTTACAAAGGGCTCAGTCCCTTCGGGGAGGCTTCTGGTGAAGGAGGATCGCTAGAACCAAGCTGTCCTCTTAAGCTAGTTGCAGCAGCCCCTCCTCCCAGCCACCTCCGCCAATCTCTCACTCACCTTTGGCTCCTGCCCTTAGGGTTACCTGGGTTGCCAAGCCTTGTCTGAGATGATCCAGTTTTACCTGGAGGAGGTGATGCCCCAAGCTGAGAACCAAGACCCAGACATCAAGGCGCATGTGAACTCCCTGGGGGAGAACCTGAAGACCCTCAGGCTGAGGCTACGGCGCTGTGTAAGTAGCAGATCAGTTTTTTCCCTTGCAGCTGCCCCCAAAATACCATCTCCTACAGACCAGCAGGGACACTCACATCCACAGACACAGCAAAGACACAGACTGGCAGAGCTAGCTGTAAATGAGGAAAGACTCCTGGAGTCAGATCTCTTGCTCATTTCTCTTTGAGCAGGCGTTGGGGGTGGCTGCTAGGCATTTACATGTGAAATTTGCAAACAGCTTTCCTGTTATTTGTGAGTCATTTGTGGGTTATTAACTACTCCCCTCTCTCTTCATAAAAGGAGCCCAGAGCTTCAGTCAGGCCTCCACTGCCTCTTTGTAACTAGACCCTGGGCGGGGAGCTAAGGTTCCCAAGCAGAGGAAACATCATTCACCTCTTTTAATCTCAATGTTTTGAAAGCAAAGCTCTAAGAAGGGCCCAATTGACTGACAGGATTTCCCCTGGCATTTTAGAAGGGACAAGGGGGCTATTCATCCCCAGGCTAGTGTCTATGAGTAATTCCTCCAGGTAATTTATTTCTCCAACTGAAATGATGCCCTCACTACTAATGGTTTCCCCTGTTCTGTCACCAATATTGGAAAATCAGTTGGTGTCTATTTGTAGGACAAGGCTATGTGAAGGGTTTGGTCCCAGTAGCTTCCCTCCTCAGATGCTTAGAAGTGTTCCTCGGTGGCTGTGACTGACGGGGAGGAACAGGAGAGAGAGGCAGAAAAGGACAGGCTGAAGAATGCCTCGCTCAGCACTGCAGGAGATACTGTAGAGTTCTGGGGGAGGAAGGAATCCCAAGACCTGGGTTGTCATCCAAGCCTTGCAAACATCTTGGAGTGAGTCCTGGAGAAATACATTTAACTCCCAGGGCCATGGAAGCAGGGCTCAGTTCTCTCTGGGAGCTGTGAGGCAAGGCATTTGGATAAATCTGGCCTCCTCATGATGCCACCAGCTTGTCCCCTAAGTGTGATGGACATGGAGCTGGAAGCCAGGATCACCAACACTTTCTCTTTTCTTCCACAGCATCGATTTCTTCCCTGTGAAAACAAGAGCAAGGCCGTGGAGCAGGTGAAGAATGCCTTTAATAAGGTGAGCTTGGATGGTGGCAGAGAGGGTCTGCAGAGCACAACCCATGCCCACTCCCCAACCCCAAAGCATGGAAGGTGGTGGGGACTCAATAGGCCCCATTCTTCATTGGAGAGAGTGTGGGAACCTGACAGATGGTATGACCTGCTCAGCCAGTGAGGAGCTGCTGCCTTGATTGTATTTGTTTTCTGTTAAGTGTCTTTGGGGGTTTCTAAATGACTGCTCGCTGCCTTTGCAGGCTTGCGGGTTAGGCTGGCCGGCCAGCCTGTGAACACAGTGAGCTGCATGCTGGGGAGAGTGACAAAGGAAACAGAAAGTACAGAAAGTAGCTTGTTGGGAATCTAGGCTGAACCCACACGTGCAGGAAGCTGGCACATAAATGTGCACATACAAATACACCTGGGGGTTCAGCCCAGACTCCCCAGAACTCAGAATGAGCAGGAAGCTGGATTCTCACTTAACCTGGAGTTGGTTCAAGCCCGCTTTCCATCTGCCCTTCGCACCTGCGGAGGTGCCTGAGAATGTCAGTTCCCAAACGAAATGGGGTTTCACACTTCCAACTGTGCGTGAACTTTTTCAGTCTGATTTCCCAGAAACCGTGCGGCCTATGTCCTCCTCGTGGGCTGGGGACAGACACTGCACAGAGTGCCAACATCAGGGGGTGTGAATTTCTCATAGTAGGTCAGGGCGGCAGGGCAGGGCCTGCTCAGTGTGTTGGTGGGAGAACACAGACATTTAAAAGGCTCCCTCCTCTCCTCTCACCGTCTTGCTTTCGAAGCGCTTCCTCTAATGTCTTTTCATCAAACTCTGCATAATCATCATGTGAATACGTGACCTTTAAAATTGTTGAAAAGGCATCATTTTGAAGACAGTGCTTTGCAAAATGAATGCTCCCCTTGCTAGGGGGAGGCCTGGAGGAGATGAAGGTCAATGCACAGCCTTTCCCAAGGCAGCTAGGCCTATCCTCTGGTTTACTTCCCAGCGTGAGGGAGAACAAGCAACCTCTGCACTCAAGGTCATGCCCATCCATGAGCATGAGGGAGGGGAGCCTATTTAGTCCCCAGAAAGGATTTTAACTGTATGTTTCTTATCTCTCTGCACAGCTCCAAGAGAAAGGCATCTACAAAGCCATGAGTGAGTTTGACATCTTCATCAACTACATAGAAGCCTACATGACAATGAAGATACGAAACTGAGACATCAGGGTGGCGACTCTATAGACTCTAGGACATAAATTAGAGGTCTCCAAAATCGGATCTGGGGCTCTGGGATAGCTGACCCAGCCCCTTGAGAAACCTTATTGTACCTCTCTTATAGAATATTTATTACCTCTGATACCTCAACCCCCATTTCTATTTATTTACTGAGCTTCTCTGTGAACGATTTAGAAAGAAGCCCAATATTATAATTTTTTTCAATATTTATTATTTTCACCTGTTTTTAAGCTGTTTCCATAGGGTGACACACTATGGTATTTGAGTGTTTTAAGATAAATTATAAGTTACATAAGGGAGGAAAAAAAATGTTCTTTGGGGAGCCAACAGAAGCTTCCATTCCAAGCCTGACCACGCTTTCTAGCTGTTGAGCTGTTTTCCCTGACCTCCCTCTAATTTATCTTGTCTCTGGGCTTGGGGCTTCCTAACTGCTACAAATACTCTTAGGAAGAGAAACCAGGGAGCCCCTTTGATGATTAATTCACCTTCCAGTGTCTCGGAGGGATTCCCCTAACCTCATTCCCCAACCACTTCATTCTTGAAAGCTGTGGCCAGCTTGTTATTTATAACAACCTAAATTTGGTTCTAGGCCGGGCGCGGTGGCTCACGCCTGTAATCCCAGCACTTTGGGAGGCTGAGGCGGGTGGATCACTTGAGGTCAGGAGTTCCTAACCAGCCTGGTCAACATGGTGAAACCCCGTCTCTACTAAAAATACAAAAATTAGCCGGGCATGGTGGCGCGCACCTGTAATCCCAGCTACTTGGGAGGCTGAGGCAAGAGAATTGCTTGAACCCAGGAGATGGAAGTTGCAGTGAGCTGATATCATGCCCCTGTACTCCAGCCTGGGTGACAGAGCAAGACTCTGTCTCAAAAAATAAAAATAAAAATAAATTTGGTTCTAATAGAACTCAGTTTTAACTAGAATTTATTCAATTCCTCTGGGAATGTTACATTGTTTGTCTGTCTTCATAGCAGATTTTAATTTTGAATAAATAAATGTATCTTATTCACATCATGTTCTGGTGTCAGTTGACTCTTGTCTGACTAAAATTGTTCTCTCAAAGCTCCCAAGACAAAAGAGAGTGGGTGAATGAATTCTGCATTTCAGAGAAAGGAAGCCAGCTACCCCCTACCCCCAGGAGAGAGGGAAGGCTCCAAACCTGATCAGAGAAAAAGCTATTCTCACTGCAAAAGCCAGTAGCAAAGACATCATGGTCTTCCCACAACTCAATCCTTTAAAGATTTGCTCCTAAATCCTTAAAGATCATGCTGATTTTCAAGGCTAACGGGGAGATTCTGTAGGTACCAAAATTAGAAAGGTAAACAGGGGAAGGTTTTTTGGAGGTTGTTTTTGTTTTTGTTGTTGCTTTTCGAGACGGAGTCTCGCCCTGTCTCCAGGCTGGAGTGCAATGGCATGATCTCAGCTCACTGCAACCTCCGCCTCCCAGGTTCAAGTGATTCTCCTGCCTCAGCCTCCCAAGTAGCTGGGACTACAGGCATGTGCCACCACGCCCGGCTAATTTTTTGCATTTTTAGTACAGATGGGGTTTCACCATGTTGGCCAGGCTGGTTAGGAACTCCTGGCCTCAAGTGATCCGCCTGCCTCAGTCTCCCAAATTGCTGGGATTACAGGCGTGAGCCACCACACCCGGCCAGGGGAAGTTTTTAGGGTGAATACAAATTGCCTGGGTTATCCTGAGGATTAAGATAATGAGCTAACAGGGCTTCTGGCACTAGGAGATGTTCGCAGTGCGTATAGTTGGTTGTTATTGGTTATCACAACCAAAAACTCCCGCCAAATCCTCTTTGAGCTGAGATCAGAGGCAACAGGGCTGGACCCAACAGAGTTGAAAATAAGCAAATTAGCCCACTTGAGAGGATAGCCAAGGACATAAGCTGCTGCTCTTTCTGTCCCCTCTCTGAGCCACCAGACAAATGTGAGATTGGCTTCTGACTGCGGTCTGCTGGGAGGGGCACGGTGGCTGGGGAAGCCCTACTCAAAGCCCCGTGACTTAGAGGAGAGAGGAGGAAAAAAATGAGCTGAGTAAACACTAGTCCCCCTCACGCTCTGCCTGGGCAGCCCTGGTCTGGGGAAGGCTGGGAGCGGACAGGCTGTGGTCAGTTTTTCAGTAAGACCTGACTCACTTCGGTTAAAGTAACCATAGGAAGGAAGTGGGAAACATCAAAGCGAAAATTCTGAGATGAAAGGGTAGGAGTAAGAATGGAGGTTAGCAGAAGATAAGGAGAGGGGGCCTGAAGCTCTCTACTCTGAGGCTGTCCATCCTGAACTGAAGAAGACATCCTGAGTCTGTGAAAGGAAAATCTTGGGGCCTCAAAATCACCAAGCTAAAGGGAAAAGTCAAGCTGGGAACTACTCAGGGCAAACCTGCCTCCCATTCTATTCAAAGTCATCCCTCTGTTCACTGAGATAGATGCATATCTGATAGCCTCCTTTGGAAAAGAATCAGAAACTCAAAAGAATGCAACCATTTGTCTCTTACCTACCTGTGACCTGGAAGCCCCTTCCCTGCTTTGAGTTGTCCCCATCTTTCTGGATGGAACCAATGTACTTCTTACATATATTGATTGATGTCTCATGTCTCCCTAAAATGTATAAAACCAAACTGTGCCCCAACCACCTTGGGCACATGTCATCAGAACTTCCTGAGGCTGTGTGACAAAGCTGTGTCACGGGCACATGTCCTCAACCTTGGCAAAATAAACTTTCTAAATTAACTGAGACCTGTCTTAAATTTTCAGGGTTCACAAGTCCCCTGGCCTGGAAGGCTTAGGCCATTAGCCTTCCAGGCAATGCATACTGACTTTAGTTTGAGCCTGGCATTTCATCTGAGCGAAGTGGGCATCTGAAACAAACAGAAACTCACCTGAAAAAAAGCTGTACAGCTGAAAAGATGTTAATGATAGCTACAATTTATTAAGCAACTACAGTTTATTAAGCTAGTCACTTATTTTAAGCCATTTGGTATGTATTATGTAGCAATAAGATGGCATTATTGCTGTTTTCTCCAAGAGGAAGCTGATAGTCATTTTTTTCTGTTACATTTGCTTTATTGGGATTTAATAATCTAACATTCTGTAGATCATATTTGACAGTCAGGGTTTCTAAACAACCATATTAACCCAGCTTTTTAAATCATGAGTTGATCACAGGTTAACCTGGGAGAAAACATAGGCTCTGCACTTCCAATTTATCATCTGTTTGTGTGTATAATTGTTCCAGTATACCTGATATTTATGTTAATGGCAATATGAACATTGACTAAAGTCATTTGCTGGCTACTTTGCTAAGTACTTGATATATATTAGCTCATTAATTATCAGGTAAAACTATTAGGCACTATTAATATCTCCATTTTTTCATGTAGTGAAAATGAGACCCAGAGAAGCTATATAATTTACCTTTGGTCATCCAGCTATTAAAAGACAGTCCGTGGTCTTAATGATTATCCTACACTCCTAAAGTCATTTTCACAGGTAAATTACTGCATCATTCTTCTTTCCTAATATAATTCTGTTTGTATCATGAAAAATTAAGATACAGGTTTTATAGTATGTTGTGTATCCACTTTTGTTTGTCTCAAGATGTTTTTAAATTTCTCTTTTAATTTCTTCTTTGACCCACTGGCTGTCTGGGAGCATGAGAAATGTCAATCTGGCTTGGCCACATGGGTAACATGGAGAATGGAGAACTGAGTATAGAATAAAATACTTTTCTCTTTGTATTAATTATCTATTGCTGTCTTCAAAATTTAGCTGCTTAAAACAACAGTCATTTGTTATCTCACAGCTTCTGTAAGTCAGGAGTCTGGGAGTGACAACTAGGAATTCCATCTCAGGATTTCTAATGAGGCTTTGTCAGAAGTACAGCCAGGGCTGCAGTCACCTGGTGGCCTGACTGGGCTAACGGATTCATGAGTAACATGGCACACTCACAGGGCTGTTGGCAGGTGGCCTTGGTTCTTCTTCACAGGGCTTCTTGAGTGTCCTCGCAACATGGCAGCTGTCCTCCCCAGAGCCAATGATGCAAGAGAGAATAAGGAGAAAGTTGCAGTATATTTTACGACCTAATTCCAGAAATCTCACACCATCACTTCTGCTATATTCCGTTTGTTAGAAGTGAACCAGTAAGTCTAGCCCACATTCAAGGGAAAAGGAATTAGATTCTGCCTTTTGAAGGGAGGAGTGTCCAAGAATTTGTGCACCTATTTTAAAACAATCACAACCTTTTAAGAATCTAGAAGAAATAGTTTTGCGCTCTTGAGCTGGCAGGGCAAAGGGGAGGAGTTGGGTGGGCCTCAGTGTGCCTGGATAGGCCATCATCATGCACACTCCCACCAGTCCTCTCTCATAGGCTCACTCTAATAGATTTATTTCTCTAAGGCTTAGTTTCTCATCTGGAATACTAGCAAAACGTCTCCCCAGGTGCTATGGCCTGAATGTTTGTGTCTCACCAAAATTCATATTTTAAAGCCCTTTCCCCCAGTGTGATGGTACTTGAAGTGGGGAACTTTTTGAGGTGAGTAGGGTTAGATGAGGTCATAAGGGTGGGACCCTCAGGATGAGATTAGTGCCCTTATGAGGAAGACACTAGAGAGCTTGCTGTCTTCCCCCCACTACCCCCAAGTGTGCTCAAAGAAGAGGTCATGTGAGCACACAGTGAGATGACGGCCACCTCCAAGCCAAGAGAAGAGGACTCAGAATGAAACCTGCCTTGCCAGCACCTTGATTTTGGACTTCCTAGCCTCCAGAACATTGAGAAAACACGTTTTTGTTGTTTAAGCCACCCAGTCTGTGGTATTTTGCTATGGCAGCCTGAGCTGACTAATATACCAGGTTTGCTATAACTGCCAAATGAAATCTCAGGTATGAAGGTACATATGTGTTTTGAACAGGGAGCACAGAGATGAGGTTTTGATGGGATTTTTTTTTCAACAAGCCTTTATTCTCTAAGAAAAGCATCCATTTCCTCTCTTCCATGTCTACTCTGTGCCCTTACACTTGAGTTTGGAAAACAGTGGAGAATGAAAATCTGTTTGTCTGTGATGCTGGCTTTGGAGGTAAGGAAGGTGGAACTGGTGAGAAGCCCCTGCAATCTGTGATGACAATGTGGTTACCTATGCAGCCACTGACAGAAATTAGAGAAGAAGCAAATGGGTTCTTCCACCCTGGGAGTGAAGCACAAGGCAGAAGGAAGGGGAAGAGATCAGAGATGAAAAGAAAGAAGAGAGCAGGTGCCGTGGCTCCCACCTGTAATCCCAGCACTTTGAGAGGCCGAGGCGGGTGGATCACCTGAGTTCAGGAGTTCAAGACCAGTCTGGCCAACGTGATGAAACCCTATCTCTACTAAAAATACAAAAAAAATAGTCAGGCGCGAGCCTGTAGTCCCAGCTACTTATGAGGCTGAAACAGGAGAATCGCTAGAACCTGGGAGGCAGGGGTTGCAGTGAGCCAAGATCGTGCCATTGCACTCCAGCCTGGGCAACAAAAGCGAAACTTAAAAAAAAAAAAGAAAGAAAGAAAGAAAAGAAAAAAGAAAAAGAACGAAAGAACGAAAGAAAAAAAGAAAGAAAGAAGGAAGGAAGAAAGAAAGAAAGAGAGAAGAAAGGAAGGAAGAAAGAGAAAAAGAAAAAGAAAGAAGAAAGAAAGAAAGAAAAAGAAAAAGAAAGAAAGAAAGGAAGGAAGGAAGAAAGAGAGAGAGAGAGAAAGGAAAGGAAAGGAAAGGAAAGGAAAGGAAAGGAAAGGAGAAAGGCAAGTTAGTTCAGTGACAAAACTTCCCATTCTGTGACATGTGTCCCCCTCAAAACACTTATATGAGTAGTTTTAACTGTGGAATACGGGAACCAGCTTTAGTCCTGGGGTGATTTAGGGAAAACCAGACCTAACACTCCAAGGAAATGGGAGCTGAATTGTAAGAACATAAACCCAGAATTTTAAATAATGGGAAGATCTTTCAACTTTCATAAGCGACAGAACTGGCTACAGAATGAACCAGTCAATTGCATATCTTCAGGGGCTAGTGGGTCCCAGGTGACACATGGGTTCCATTATTCAATACCCCTTCTAGGCACTAACTCACTTGGTGACTTCAAAGATTTTACTTAACTTGTCTGGGACTCAGTTTCCTCAACA
The DNA here is from genome assembly GCF_000001405.40 of Homo sapiens. Taxonomy (NCBI): domain Eukaryota; kingdom Metazoa; phylum Chordata; class Mammalia; order Primates; family Hominidae; genus Homo; species Homo sapiens. The sequence goes on along the minus strand of NC_000001.11, from coordinate 206,762,466 downwards.
ATAAATAAGAAAATAGGTCTGAATCAATGGTTTCCCTTGGGGAAAACCATTCACCTCTGTGGCCACTACAGTGGAGCCAGTCGCTCCTGGGGACAAGAGTGACAGCGCTTATAGCAGGTGATGGGGGTAGTCTGAGCAATTTCCAAAATTTGAAAAAGCCTCATGGAAATTGTGCATTTAGCAACACCTCCTCTCATAAGTCTGCACAAGCTCATTAAAAAGCACTTCTCCCTGTTTGGATGGAGTCATCCACTTTGTGTGGGAAGACAGTTTGTCCCATGCCAATCAGAGTTCTATTTGGCCGTTATCTATTACATCTTTTTCTTTTCTTTTTTTTTTTTTTTTTTGCCAAGGAGTCTCGCTCTGTCGCTCAGGCTGGAGTGTGCAGTGGCACGATCTCAGCTCACTGTAACCTCTGCCTCCCAGGTTCAAGCGATTCTTACGCCTCAGCCTCCCATGTAGCTGAGATTACAGGTGCCCGCCACCACGCCCAGCTAATTTTTGTATTTTTAGTAGAGACGGGGTTTCACCATGTTGGCCAGGCTGGTCTTGAACTCCTGGCCTCCAGAGATCCACCTGCCTCAGCCTCCCAAAATGCTAGGATTACAGGTATGAGCTACCATGCCCAGCCCATCTATTACATCTTTGATTAAGGCAATCAGAAAATGGAATTATTTCTTTAAAAAGTTTTTAAGCAGCCAAAACATTTTAAAACAGAGAGTCTCTGGAGAAATTTAATAGCAGCAGTCCTTCAATTAAAAGCTTAAAAGTCGCTAAACTAGATGACCTCTAAATTCTGTTCGAGCCTGTAGTTCCTCATTCCAGCCACTGACTCCTCCAGTCCACCAGGCCTATTCCCACTGGAATCCTCCTCCAGGACTCATTCCTGTGTCTACAGCATCTGCACTCCTAATTTGCCAGGCAGTTCCCATTTATCTGTGTATTATCAACAGCTCCCTCCCCCAGCAGAATTGAGCTGCCATTGAGCCTTTAGCTTCCAGAGGCCTCCTTGGCACCCTGGCTGGAGAGGACAAGGGGGACATAAAAGACCTAAGGAAAGTGACACAGCGTACCTCTGACTCTACAGCACAGGGTGACATGCACAGCCTCTGGAGTCTGAGCCCAGGCTTCCACTTACTTCTCAGCTACATGACCTTGAGACATTCCCTAGCTTGGTATTCTCCTCTGTAACATGGAGAGAATAATTACTCTTTCAAGGTGTCGTCAGAAAAAATAAAGGCTTGAATACATAAAAGTCTCCCGGCACAGAGTAAATACTTAATAAAAGCAGCTCTATCGCAGACATTTGGGAAAATGCTCCCATCCAACCAGATGGAACAATAGGTGCCAACACCATGGAAAATAGCTGGACATGCCTTGCGCTTGTACCAATCATAGACCTGGGCTTTTCCTTACAGTGCCTTCTGCCTCCCTACCACCATTTCTGGGCGGAAAGAGTAAATGGTTTGTCCCTGCACTTGGAAGGGAAAGAAAGGAAGCAACCATTTTTGAGTGCCCACTTTCAATTTCCTGAAGGTGACCTCAGAAATGCTTGGCTTGGTGAAGTAAAAAAATACACATTATGAATTATAGCCCCTAGAGTTCTATAAATCCAGTGAACAGCTTAATATACATGCCTAACTGCCATTTAGAGCAATAATAGCTACACATACTATTAAGTATAGATTAGATCAACCATGTAGAAAGCTTATTCGATTACAGCACTGGACTTTGCTCAAATATGCTTTCTCCATCATTGCTGCTGATCTGCTAGCAATATGAAATATGAGAATTCAGCCAACTATTCTATTCTCCCTTACTATTATTCAAGAAAAAAATATTTTCCAAGGTCATGAAGCCATTGCATAACAGAGCTCATTGTGTGTCCAGTATACAACCCGGAATCTTATGCTTATTTAAAGAAGTCTTCCTGCATTACTTAGGGAAGTGGGATGTTATTTCCGCAAACTGACCCTATTATATACTCTTCACCAAGGCTGAATTAGTAACTTTGGTCAGTATGTGGCATTAAGTAACTAATTGAATCTCCCTACATAATAATCTCCACATTCATGTCTGATGATCATGACACCCAAATCGAAAGAGAAGCAGATTGCTTCTCCATAATCTGCAAAGATGGAGTCATCCACTTTGTGTGGAAAGACAGGTTGCCTCATGTCAATCAGAGTTCTATTTGGCAGTCATCTATTACATCTTTTTCTTTTTCTTTTTTTTTTTTTTTTTTTTTTGGAAAGGAGTCTCCAAACCTCTGGCTTGGAGGCAAGCCAAGCCAGAGGTTTTACAAGATACACACTTATTCACTCAGAACTTATTATGCTCCAGGTACTATGCTGGGTGTCGAAGAAAAAGCAGTGAATAAGACAGACATAATCCTTGCCCTCGTGGATTTCTTTTAATTTTTTAAATAGAGATGGGGGTCTCACTATGTTGCCCAGGCTGGATTTGAACTCCTAGGTGCAAGTGATCCTCCTTCCTCAGCCTCCCACCAATCCTGGCTCCAGCTACACGGATTTAATAGCTAGTTGAGGAAACAGATATTATAAAGTTAACTATATAATGTTATTATAATCATGATTATTTCTATTAATTAGAAGTGTGAGATTTCAGAAAGCAACTAACCTAGACTCAGGGCTAGGGGATGCTTTCATGAGATGGTAACATTCAACTGGACATGAAGGATGAGCAGGAGCTGGCCCAATGAAGAGAGAGGTGGTAAGAAGCAGAGCATTTTGCAGATTTAAAGACCACTAAGAACAGCAAAGAACGGGGGAGAAGGGGTTTATCTCTGGAGCAAAGGTAAATTTGTACCAATTCACGACCCAGCTGGACCCTGGGCTCTCTTCACAGCTCTCTGACTTCTCCATCCCATCTCATGTTCTGAGGCCCTGAGGCAAGAAGAAACTTAAACTCTTTGAGAAACTAAAAGATGAATCACAGAGAGTAAGGGACATTATATGTGATGGGGAGAGATTTAAGACGAGCTTGAAGAAGTGGGCATGGGTCTGATCACTCAGGGATGGTAGGCTATGGTCAAAAATTTAGACTCTAAGAGCAAAGGGAAGCCATTGAAGGCTATTAAACAGAGAGGATAATATATACCTTCTGTATGAGACCATTTAGGAGCCATTTGCTTCCAGTCCAGACAGGAAGAAATTGTGTTCTGGACTAAGGTGGTAATAAACAGGAATTGAGAGAAGTGCAAGGTTTCAAATAGTCTGCAATTATTTAGGTCAGAATGGTGAGAGTGGGCGACGGCCAAGGTGAACCCTCATCTCTTGTCTGAGCAGCTGGGTGGAGAAGCAGCAAGTTTGAAGGGGAAGGTGATCTGGTCTACACTGGTCCTGCTGAGTTGGAGGTGCCTCTGAGTCTTTAAGTGAAAATATACACGTGGTCAGATGGACATCAAGATTGAGTCTGGAGATCACTATGTGGGGGTCATTGATACAAAGATGGTGAGTAAAATCGTGGGAGTGGGTAAGATTACCAAGGGAAAACAGTGCAGAATGGAAGAGAAGAGAGCCCAGAACCAAGCTCCGAAGAACCCAGATATTCATAAGCCAGAGCAGGAGAAGCTGTCAAAGAGACTCATTAAAGAGTGGCCTGAGCGATAAAAAGAAACACCAGAAGAGAGTGGCATCCCTGAGGACAAGGAAAGAAACTATTTCGAGAAAGAGAATGGTCAGCTAGATCAAATGCTATCAAAACGTCAAGTAAAATCAAGGCAAAAGAGCCCCTAGTGCATGGAACACATGAAAGGCACTGTTGATTTTATCAAGAAGAGCTGTAAGGATGTAGAGCTGTAGGGATGTAGAGCGGTAGGGATGGAAGACGGATGGTTGCACATGAAATAGGAGGTGAAAAAATGGGGTGGCTCATGCCTGCTATACCAGCGTGGTGGCTTACGCCTTCAATCCCAGCACTTTGGGAGGCCAAGGCAGGCAGATCATCTGAAGTCAGAAGTTCAAGACCAGCCAGCCTGGCCAACATGGTGAAACCCCATCTCTACTAAAAATACAAAATTTAGTCGGGTGTGGTGGTGCACGCCTGTAATCCCAGCTACTCGGGAGGCTGAGGTGGGAGAATCGCTTGAACCAGGGAGGTGGAAGTTGCAGTGAGCCAAGATCATGCCATTGCACTCCAGCCTGGGTGACAGAGCAAGACTCCATCTCAAATAATAATAATAGGATGACAAGCGTGGACAACTGTTTCAAGACATTGGGCCAGGAGAGGAGAAGAAGAAGTTGAAGACAGAAGAGTGAGATGGGAGAACTGATGAAGTCAGGTTACTCAGAAAGCAGGACGGGGTGGGATGCAGGCAGAGCAAAGAACTACCTTTGAAATGAAGAGGGCACCTCCTCTGAATAATAACAGGAAGAAAGTAGAGACGGTGGGTACAGAAGCAGGTTGGTTTGAAGAATCGTTGGCAGGAAGTTGAGGTTAATTTCATCAGATGACTTATATTTACTCTTAAGAGAATGAATAAGGAGAGAATGCAGGGCGGTTTAAGGAGAGAAACAAAGGTTTGAAATGATGTTTGCAGAGACACGGAAGACAAACGACTCTAGAGAAATGTAGTAGATTCCCAGGCAGTGTTGAGCTCAGTTGAGGTAGGTGATCATGAATTGAAATGGTCTGCCAGACTATATCATTTTTCTCAGGATTCTTTTGGCAGCCGGGGGAGCAATACATAGAAGGCAGAATTGTTTTGCCCCGTGAGTATAACAAAAAGACGAGGAGGAGGAGTTGAGAGTACAAGTGTACCTCATTTTATTACACTTCACTTTATTGTGCTTTGTAGATAATGCAGGGTTTTTTCATAAATTGAAGGTTCGTGGCAATCCATGACGAGCAAGTCTATCGACACTATTTTTCCAACAGCATGTGCTCACTTTGTGTCTCTGTGTCACATTTTGGTAATTCTCAGAATATTCCAAAGTTTTCATGATTATTCAGTCTGTTGTGATGTCCTGTGACCAGTGATCTTTGATGCTAATACTGTAGTTGTTTTGGGGCACCACAAACTGTGTCCATATAAGACAGAGAACTTAACTGATCAATGTCATGTGTATTCTATTTTCTTGCACAAAATATAAAATGCTTTAATTTCATCCTATAAATTGCTATCACTTATATTGTAATTTTTATCTCTTAAAGCAATATCTAGAACCATATGCTACATCTTAAATTATTTCAAAGTTACCAATTTGTTCAAATCTCTCTACTGTTGAGATTATGGCTTGTTCTATAATGAGCAGAAAATAGGTTCTATTGAAATTAGTTTGAGGATTATTTGTGCATGAATTTTTGCCTTCAAAGTCAGAAAAATATTTTCCTTGCTCTGATTTTCTTATGTTGTATTGAACTGTCACTTTTGTTCATATGTCGCATGCAGTTTCACTCAATTTAAATAGACAATTTTCTCTAAAATTAAAACAACATTTTAAAAAGTAAATCTATTTTTGTTTTTGTAAGCTTTTGATAACATTATTGATATAAGTGATACACAAAAACTTTATGGTAGCAAATATAAAATTAATCTTGTTTTTCACCAACAACTACAATTCACTCTTCATTTAAGGATCTTCTAATGTTTCACTTATACATCTTCTGTCTTGTCTAGACTAAGTCTAATTGCTTTAGTAGCATTATTTTAGGGGAAAAGGGAATTGTTCATTTCCCTCCATGGGGTTTAGAAAGTAATTTCACATTTCATTTATGTTGTATGTGCTCTGACTTCTCCACCAACTGCCTGCTCTTCCAGCTCTCTCCTTCTCCTAGGACCTCTCTATTATTTGAGATGTAACAATATTGAAATTAGGCCAAATAATAATCCTACAATGGTCTCTAAGTGTTCAAGGAGAAGGAAGACTCACACATCTCTTACTTCAAATTAAAACCTAGAGATGATTAAGCTTAGTGAGGAAGGCATGTTGAAAGCTGAGACAGGCCAAAAGCTAGGGCTTTTGTACCAAACAGCCAGTAAATGTGAAGGAAAAGTTTCTGAAGGAAATTAAAAGTGATACTCCACTGAATACACAGATGGTAAGTCAGTGAAACAGCCTTATTGCTGATACAGAGAAAGTTTGAGGGATCTGGATAGATCAAATCCACCACAACACTCCCTTAAGTCAAAGCATAATCCAGAGTAAGGCCCTCACTCTCTTCAATTCAAGGTCCTTGCTCTGGATTAGAAGAAGCTGCAGAAGAGAAGTTGGAAGCTATGAGTAGTTGGTTCATGAGGTTTAAGGAAAAAGAACCATCTTCTTAACGTAAAAGTACAAGGTGAAACAGCAAGTGCTAACGTAGAAGCTGCAGCAAATTAAACAGAAGATCTAGCTAAGATCATGGATAAAAGTGGCTACATTAAAGAATGGATTTTCAATGTAGATAAAACATTCTTATATTGGAAGAAAATGTCATCTAGGGCTTTCATAGCTAGAAAGAAGTCAATGCCTAACTTCAAAGCTTCCAAGGACAGGCTTACTGTCTTGTTAGGGGCTGATGCAGCTGGTGACTCTAAGTTGAGGCCAAGGTCCTTTTTTATTTTTATTTTTATTTTTTTTTTGAGACGGAGTCTCGCTCTGTCACCAGGCTGGAGTGCAGTGGCGAAAACTTGGCTCACTGCAACCTCTGCCTCCCAGGTTCAAGTGATTCTCCTGCCTCAGCCTCTCGAGTAGCTGGGACTGCAGGCATGCGCAACCATGCCCAGCTAATTTTTGTATTTTTAGTAGAGATGGGGTTTCACCATGTTGGCCAGGATGGTCTTGATCTCTTGACCTTGTGATCCGCCCACCTTGAGGGCATTTACCATTCTAAAAATCCTAGGACCCTTAATAATTATACTAATTCTACTCTGCCTATGCTCTATCAATGGAACAATAAAGCCAAGATGACAATACATCTCTTTACAGCATGGTTTACTTAATATTTTAAGCCCACTGTTGAGATCTACTGCTCAGAAAAAAGATGTTTTTCAAAATATTACTGCTCATTGACAATGCTCCTGGTCACCCAAGAGCTCTGATGGAGATTTACAAAAAGGTGAATGTTGTTTTCCTGCCTGCTAACATCTACTCTGCAGCCCCTGGATCAGGGAGTAATTTTGGCTTTTAAGTCTTATTATTTAAGAAATGCATTGTGTGAGGCTATAGCTGCCATAATGATTCCTTTGATGGGTGTGGGAAAGGTAAATTGAAACCATTCTGGAAAAGATTCACCATTCTAGATGCCATTAAGAACACTCGTGATTCATGGGAGAAGGTCAAAATATCAACTTTAGCAGAAGTTTGGAAGAAGTTAATTTCAACCCTCATGAATGACTTTGAGGAGTTCAAGACTTCAGTGGAGGAAATCACTGCAGATGTGGTGGAAATAGCAAGAGAACTAGAAATGCAGACTGAAAATATGTGACTGAGTTGCTGCAATCTCATGATCAAACTTGAACAGATGAAGAGTTGCTTCTTATGAATGAGCAAGGAAAGTGGTTACTAAGAGGGAATCTACTCCTGGGGAAGATGCTGTGAATATTGTTGAAATGACAACAAAACATTTAGAGTACTCCATAAACATAATTGGTAAAGCAGCAGACAGGCCTGAGAGAACTGACTCCACTTTTGAAAGATGTTCCACTGTAGGCAAAATGCTATCAAACAGCGTCACATGCTACAGAGAAATCTGTTGTGAAAGAGTCAATCAATCCAGCAAACTTCACTGCTGTCTATTTTAAGAAATTGCTACAACCACCTCAGCCTTCAGCAACCACCACCTTAATCAGCAGCCATCAACATCAAGGTGAGACCCTCCACCAGCAAAAAGATTACAACTCACTGAAGGTTCATGTGATCATTAGCATTTTTAGCAATAAAGTATTTTCAAATAAGATATGTATATTGATGTACTTTTTTAGGCATACTGCTATTGCACACTTAATAGACTACAGTCTAGTATAAACATAACTTTTACATACACTGGGAAACCAAAAAATTTGTGGGACTGGCTTTGTTGTGATATTCACTGTCTTGCAGTGGTCTGGAACCAAATCCACAATATCTCTAAGGTATGTCTGTATAGCTAAGAGCCTGAATGAAAAGATGAACCAAGCAGTCTAAGTTCAATAATGCAGGAAATAAAGGCAGGAGAGAGCTGAAAAAAGAAAAGGAAGCATGTTGATCATGAGGTCAAGGAAGAGTTGTAGTGGGAGTATCTGAATCACTAAAGAGAGGAGGCTGTGGCAAGAGAATGGAATGCTCAAATGAAGGGATTTTTGGAGGTGGTATCATTTTGAGGAATAACAAAATCCAGGCTGTAACCGTTAGAGCAAATTGCTGTGTAGAGGCAAAGAAAAGGTCATTGGAGATATAAAAGTCACAGAATTGAAAAGTCACATTTGGATAAGTCAACCACAATGGTATTGAAGCCCATCAGACTCACAGCAGTAGAAGGAAAATCAGTAGAAAGCAGTAGAAGGAAAAATATAAGTGTTCAAATCATTTGTGAATGAAGGAGAGGGAGAAGATATTTGAGCATCCTGGAATTTCTGATAGATTCTAGTTTCCACATGTGTAGTATTCTCAGAGTTTCATATACTGGACAAATGATCATTCCAGATTTCTTCAAACTTTTTTTTTTTTTTTTTTGACAGTCTCACTCTGTCACCCAGGCTGGAGTGTAGTGGTTCATTCCAACCTCTGCCTCCCAGGTTCAAGTGATTCCCATGTCTCAGCCTCCCAAGTAGCTGGGATTACAGGTGCATGCCACCACACCTGGCTAATTTTTCTATTTTTAGTAGAGACAGGCTTTCACCACGTTGGCCAGGCTGGCCTCAAACTCCTGGCCTTGAGTGATCCACCCGTCTCGGCCTTCCAAGGTGTTTGGACTACAGGAGTGACACCATGCCCGGCTTAGATTTCCTAAATCTTAGAGGAGAATAGATTTAGATCTCTTGAGAAGACCCCGTAACACAATTGGAATTTCCTAATAAATGAAAGGACCTCTATGTTTATAAATATATCTTACCAGATTGAAGTCACTTTTATGTCATAAAAGTAACGCATGTCCAAGCGTAAACCACACACAAACTTAGAGTCACCCAGCTTAAGAAGCTTTTATTTTTGGCCAGGATGAATCATCATTCAATGACACATCCAATGGGGAAGCTCCAGCAAATCTCCAAAACAGACCTTCCTTTTGTGGTACAGGTTCTTAGTCCCTTGAGTCTCTTCTCTCTCACATATTACCATGGAGCTCAATCTCTTTCCTACACAGCAAAAAGATGGAAAATCACCATCAAGAAATTGTTTCCTAGGAGGCCGGGCACAGTGGCTCACGCCTGTAGACCCAGCACTTTGGGAGGCCAAGGTAGGTAGATCACTTGAGTTCAGGAGTTCAAGACCAGCCTGAGCAATGTGGCAAAACCCCATCTCTACAAAAAAAATACAAAAAATTAGCTAGGTGTGGTGGTACATGCCTGTAATCCCAGCTACTTGAGCGGCTGAGGTGGGAGGATCGCTTGAGCCCGGGAGTTTGAGGTTGCAGTGAGTTGTGATCATGCCACTGCACTCCAGCCTGGGTGACAGAGCCAAGACGCTGAAAAAAAAAGAAGAAAGAAAAGAAAGAAAGAGGGAAGGAAGAAAGGACGGATGGAAGGGAGGGAGAAAGAAAGAAGAAAGAAAGAAAAAGGAAGGAAGGAAGGAGAAAAACAAAGAAAGAAGAAGAAAGAAAGAAAGGAGGAAAGAAAGAAAGAAAGAAAAGAAAGAAAGAAGAAAGAGAGAGGAAGGAAGGAAGGAAAGGAGAAAGAAAGAAGAAAGAAAGAAAAGGAAGGAAGGAGAAAGAAACAAAGAAAGAAGAAAGAAAGAAAAACAGAAAGAGAGAGAGAGGGAGGGAGGGAGGAAGGAGGGAGGGAAGGAAGGATGGAAGGAAGGAAGGAAGGAAGGAAGGAAGGAAGGAAAGAAGGAAGGAAGGAGAAATTGTTTTCTCAAGTCTAATATAAATCTCTTGAAGAAAATAGACGTCCTGGAGGGTGGAGGGTGGGAGGAAGGAGAAGATCAGGAAAAATAACTAATGGGCACTAGGCTTAATACCCGGGAGATGAAATAATCTGTGCAGTGGACCCTCACGACACAGGTTTACCCATGTAACAGACCTGCACTTGTACCTCTGAATTTAAAAATTCCAAAAAAGAGGCTTAACTTTCCCTGTGAGCATTTACTTTAGAAAACTTGTAATTTTAAGTTCTTTCTCTACCTGTTTGAAATTATGTAAATCTTTTTAAAAGGTAAATAAGCCTCTTGCCAGCTTTCTTCCCTTCAGGAATGTCTTTCTCAAGTACCCGGGAGCCATCTCTTTGAAATGCAATCATTAAGGAAGACAGTGCCCCTACTTCCCGTCTCTTCCGGAGAGTAGGAGCCTAACGTGGGCAGGCACCTCTCTCCAAAACTCACCTCTTGTCACAAAAATATGAAGAAATTTATTTTTCCTTTGGATAAATCCAATTAGCAAACATAGACGGTCACCCCTGCTAGCAGGTGAATCTAGGATGTGTAACAAATAGTGCAGTCAAGTCGTCTTACTTGAGGACTAGTCAAGTTGAGGACTAGTCATGTTTATCTTGAGAACGTGTATGGAAAAAGGATTGTATGGGCTTGTCTGTATAGAAGGGTGAATTTTGTTTTCTGACTTTGCAATCTATGTGCAAATTGCCTATGACAAACATCCCGTTCTAGTTAATGCTTACTGAATAATAAAATTTTCTTCTTCTAAAAAAAGAAAAAAAGAAAAAAGAAAGGAAGAAAGAAAACAGAAGTTCCTATGAAAACAACAGGGCAAAATCTAATCTCTTCCTCTGATGTTTGCCTTAACATTACAACCAGTAATTCTCCCACTGTCACCTCGGCAGAGGCATCCGATCATTGAATATCTTTAGTTGCAGTCCAGGGAAGAGGATGGAGGCAGAAAGCTGTCTGAATCAGTGCTACTCAGTGTGGGCTGAAGTCCAGGGCTGGTCCATGATCTGTTTGTTGCCAGCTTGTGGCAAGGTAAGTACAGAAATTAAGAGTTTGGAAAATCTTATAGCAATTTGACAGATTATCTGTGTGTGTGTGTGTGTGTGTGTGTGTGTGTGTGTGTGTGTTATATTAAATAATTTAAAACAGGGCTTGTATTTTGTATATCTTTATTATATTTTCATTTCATTTTCCAAGTATTTCTTTTTTTATATTTTACAAAAAATTTTGATCCATAATGGATTAAAATTTTTAAAAAATCTGGCTCTTAGCCAAAGAGAGTTTGATAAGTACAGGTCTAAGCCACACTCCCAGGCTTGTTCCAGACTCATGGAAGATTTTAAGTTGGAAGAAAGACATAGTGAGACATACACTGGACAAACACTTATGTTATACGTGGACTAACCAGATTTCATATTCCCACTCTCACTTACTATTGACCTTGGGAAAGTTACATAATTTTAATCCCTTACCTGAAGATAGGAATAATAATTCTTCACTCGCAGATCTGAGATGAAGATTGTAAGAGATACTGTGCTGTGGGCCCAGCACAATACCAGGCTCGTGGTAAGGATTGTAAGTTGCCTTAAAGGTCATCTGGTTGAACCCACAACCTACTGCTCCAGTGAGAATCTCAGTCTCCACCAAGGAACCAACCACAGCTACCCCAGCACAGCCAGCATATCCTGACTGGGACCCCCAGCTCAGGTAAGGCAAATAGTACTGGCCAGGTCATCTCTACCCTCGTCTCCATTATACCTGAAGAACTTAGCATCCTAACTCAAGAGAAAACATGACATCCTTCTCTCTCATGATAACAAATCCTGATTTTGTTCAGGTATCGGGCATCCATGTGCTTCAGGGGAAGTGCGCCCCTTCCATGGTAATTCGCCTGTCCAGTGACTGATTTAGGAATGGGTTTGTGATATAACCTGGATAACAAAACATGGAGAGAGGTCTGAGTCTCTCCAGGACCGAAGGAGTATCAGGAAATATTTTCTTACTCTTAAAAGCAAGGAAACTAGGCTTTTTTTCTGCCTCTAAATGTCCACATTTGAAGCCTGGAATTGCCAAAGTCTTCTGGGAACCATGAGGGGACTCAGCCAAAGAGGATAAATCAACATGTGGAAAGCAACAAACGAAATAACAGAAAGAAGTAGGACATTGATGTTTTTGTTAAACCCATGAATTAACCAATCCAAGATCAGAACTACCTCAGCATTTTCAATATGTAAGATAATAATTTTTCCTTTAAGTCATTGGTAATTGGGTTTTCAGTTGCTTGCAGCCAAAAGATGTACAAAATAGACACATGAAGTCTGAGGCTATAAACTGTTGGGCACCTTTGATCCAAGGCTTCCCTTACTCCCTTCCTTCTTCTGAGCAGCTAAGTCATCTCCGACTCACACAGTGTACCCCGAATATTTAAAGGAGTTCAGGATAGACGAGGAGTTCATTCCCTTTCACCACAGGACATGACTCCTGCATTTTAGCAAATTCTCAGGCCAGCCCCATCCCATCTTCCTCATTGGTTTCAGCTAGGGAAACCAGAGCGCTGCAAAGCCCACTGCAGACTCCGAGGCTGTAAATGAAAGGTGTGAGGCACGCCGGCTGTGTACTGGCCACGTCTGCTTCTCTTGCAGGCTCCACCATCAGCCTCTTCCTCCTGAAGTGGACCCTCCTCTCCAGCTCTTGCCCATCCACTGTGACCGTTTTCAAGCCCCTTCTCTTCTGTGACGCCTTCCAGCATAACGCCAGACCACACTCTGTACTGAACTTTTAGACACTCGATACTCTGCAAGTTTCTGCCTTCAGATTGTGAACTTGACACTGTGCCTCCAACCTGGCTGTGCACCTTTGAGCACAGGGATGAGTGCAGACCTCTGCATGTTTCCAGTGATGACCAACACACAGAGGCATTACATAAATGCTTGAGTTTAAGTAGAAAGTAAACTTTCCCCACAGCCATACAATCACGATAAAATTTTGAGTTAGAGCCTCAAAAGCTCTCTTGTCCAGCTGCTGCCCTCAATGATCCTACAGATGGAGTTCGATCCTACAGACTTCAATCTTTGCAGTGAAGCAGAACTCATTACTTTGGGTGCCATCTGTTTCATTTCTGGACAACTCTCAGGGTTGGAAGTTTATTTCAATTTTATTATCAGGCCCCAATTTGCTTCCCTATAACCTGTCTTCAGCTCTTTTATTTATCTTTCTGGGATAAAAAAAGAATAAATGTATTCTATTTTCACACACTAGCCCTACAAATATTGAAAGCAGCTATTATATCTGTTCTAAATCTTCATTTGTCCAAACTAAATATCTTCAATTACTTAAATTATTCTGTAAGAGGGGAGGGTTCCAGAAATTTGTTTCATATTTCTTGTGCACATTCCAATTAGCCATTTCTCTGTTAAGATCTCATTTATTGATTCAACAAATATTGATTGAGTTCTTACTTTATACAAGACTTACATCGGAGAATCTGACTTGGAGCTTGCAGTCCAGGAGGGAAGATAATTAAACAGTGACAGTGAGGAACAAAGTGTGCTGGCTCGTGCATTGCACCATTTCAGGGGCACCATTCACACATAATACAATGCAAATTTCACCCCTTGGAGTTGTGCAACTTGGTGACCAGGCACTGATGGGAGCAAGCAAATTGTGGATCAGGAAAGGCCTCCCTAGAAGAAAGGACATTTAAGCTGAGACCTGAACTATGACTGTCAGTTAATTATGTAAAGCAAGGGAGGAACAGTGTGCTGGGCTGAAAGAACAGCATGTGAAAAATGTGGGGGAGAAAGCAAGGGGCAGGGGAAGTGACAGAAAGAAGAGGGAATAAAGAGAAATGAGGCTCGAGAAGTAAGTTGGGGTCAGAGCTTGCAGTGTCTAGCAGGCCATGTTAGGGAGGTTGACTCATATCCTAAAGAGGGTGGGAGTCTACTGGAGAGATTGAAGCAGGAAAATAATATGATTGTATTTGCATTCAGGCTGCTGTATGGAAAGTGGATTTGAAGAGAATAAAACCAGAATCTGGGAGACCATTTCAAAACCTGTTACAGTAATCCAAGCCAAAAAAAAAAAAAAAAAAAAAAAATCAGAGGGTGGCCAGAAACCAAGGTAGTGGTAGTCAAAATAACTAGGACATTATGTAGACACATTTGTGAGCTAGTTCAAATGTAAAGTCAATTAGACTTGGTGACTGGCTGGATGTGAGGAGTGGAGGAAAGGAAGAAACCAAGGATTTCATAGGCAAATGGACAGATGGTGGTGCCACCTACTGAGGCTGGAAATCTTGAAGGAAGCCTAGGTTAAAAAAATTAAAAAGTGTCGGGGCAGAGGGGGTGGGAATTGGCTGGTCCAAAGGTAGTACATTATCTCGATTGATTGTTCACTATCAGCTACAGATCAAACTCCTTGTTATCCTCTTTTCCTGCTTCTCACTACTGCATTTGACTAGTCTTTAAAAAACAAAAATTAAATTAGATTAAATTAAAAAGGACTACAATAAAGAGCCCAGTTTAGGCCAGGCATGGTGGCTCATGCCTATAATCCCAGCACTTCGGGAGGCCAAGGCAGGTGAATCGCTTGAGGTCAGGAGTTTGAGACCAGCCTGGCCAACAGGACGAAACCCTGTCTCTACTAAAAATACGAAAATTAGCCAGGCATGGTGGTGCGCACCTGTAATCCCAGCTACTCAGGAGGCTGAGGCAGGAGAATCGCTTGAACTCAGGAGGCGGAGGTTGCAGTGAGCTGAGATCACACCACTGCACTCCGGCCTGAGTGACACAGTGAGGCTCCATCTCAAAAAAAAACAAGAGCGCAATTTGGAATGTATTCAGCTGAGCTACTCTAAGATACCTAAGTAGAGATGTCTAATTGGATTTCAGGAGATGTCTCCAGAAGATTCTGGAGTCATCAGTATATAAATAACTAAAGCCATGGGAGAGGATACCAACTCAAAAAAATATATATATATATATATAGAATGAGAAGAGAAAGTTTAAGCCACTGAGGAACACAGTCATTTAATGGTTGAGTTGAGGAAGAGATCTCAGCAATGGAAACCAAGGGGGAACAGCCAGAAAGATGAAAGGGAAGATGGGAGTGTGAGGTCATGGAGCCAAGGGAAGCCAGAGGAGTCAAGTCCTGCTGACACCCCTGGAGCTGGCCTGGTCCAGGCAGCTTAGGAGGATCATCCTCCTTCTCCAGGATCATCTGTTGTGATGCAGCCTCACCACTATTGCTGATCCTTTAGTGGCAGCTGCACCATGTTGTTGACCATACTGGGTGTTGTGGGTTGAACTGTGTCTCCCAAAATTATGTTCAAGTCCTAACCCTCCAGTACCTGTGAATGTGACCCTGTTTGTAAATAGGGTCTTTGCAGTTGTGATCAAGTTAAAATGAGTTCACACTGGATTAGAGTGAGCCCTAATCCAATGACTAGGCCTTATAAGACTAAAATTTGGACACAGAGACATACACACATAGGAAAGACAACCACATGAAGACAGAGACAGATATTGGAATTAAACTCCCATGAACAAAGGATTGCCAGCAACCACCAAAAACTAAAAGAGGTAAGGAGGATTCTTCTCCAGAGCCTTCAGAAGAAACATGCCTGCAGGTACCTTGATGTTGTACCACTAGTCTCCAGAATTATGACAGAGCACATTTCTTTCTTTTTTTTTGAGATGGATTCTAACTGTGTTGCCCAGGCTGGAGTGCAGTGGCATGATCTCGGCTCACTGCAAACTTTGTCTCCCAGGTTCAAGCAATTCTCCTGCCTCGGCCTCCCAAAGTGCTGGGATTACAGGTGTGAGCCACTGCATCTGGCCACAAGTCAAGGCTCTGAAGTTCAGTGTTCATTGGCTTCCCCATGAAAGCCTCAGGCTGTAAGTTATCACTGAATGAATCTAAAGAGGCATCACCAACCACTCTTCATGTCCTATGAGGACAAATCAAGAAGAAAGGGGTGTGGTTTCCAATGTGGCTACAGAACTCCTTCTTAGGAGTAAGTACATTCCGGGATTGGTGACTTCAATTATAGAGTTCATGGAACTCTAGTCTAGATCCTATGAAAACAATTGCAAGTGTGCTATTAGAATTGGGAAAAATAATAGAGTTCTCTATGTTCTGGTAGTGAAGACTGATGAAATGTTATCTTTTTGCAACCACAATACCTAAAACAATTCCATCCCCTTAGTTTATGCTCTATATGTGGCTATTCAGAGGTTTGGAGTCAGTATATCTTTTAAGTAAAAAGTTTGCAAGGGTGGAGCATGGCAAATATTATGATTTGGTGATCTATGATTTCAGAAAGTTTGAGAAATAAACAAAAGTATCCTTTTGTGGGCCTCCAGCCCTGAGATTCTGTGACTCAGATATACCCCAGAATGCCCATGTCTCAACCTACTCTTCAATATGCCTGTTTAGGGACATGTGATACTAATATAAATACAGAGAGGAATTGGGACCCCGTAAGAATTGTGACACTCCACTTCTCCTATAAGCTTGAGGACCAAGGAATATACTCCTACCCCCACAATAGGGTTGTGGCCCAGGGTTGTCCTCAGAATGGCTCATTGGAGGAGCAGGGGTCTGAACATCTAGACAACAGCAGGTTTTACTATCCGGGTTTCAGCTCCACTTGGCTCCACTGAGTGAGGGCTTTTGGTATGTATCCTCCTCTCCCTACATTCTCATTGTTATTTTCCTATTTCCTTGATTTTGTGCCACACAGAATACAATCACGCAAGCTTCCATTTGGGGAAAGTGGCATAAAATAAAATGCTAAATACAAACACATAGTAAAGTAAAAAAAAAAAAAAAACAGAAATTTGTTTAAATGATGCCACTGTTGTGTCTAGACAGAGACTGAGTCATTTAAATGTCTTCTCAGAGCATCTTATTTTTCTTTTCTTCTTTTTTTTTTAGGGCACTGCCACCCAGGCTGGAGTGCAGTGGTGGTTATCATAGCTTACTGCAGCCTTGAACTCCTGGTCTCAAGCAATCCTCCTGCTCTGCTTCCTAAAGCACTGAGATTACAGAAATGAGCCATTGCACCTGGCCTCCAGGCATCTTTTAACTCTCAGCTTTATCCATCCACTCATCCTATATTTACTGAGCATCATCTATGTGTTGGGCTTCATGACAAGTGCCAGGATGTGCATCCATGGGTTCAACCCTACTCCAAGGGCAAGCTGTCTGCTGCTTGCCCCTTCCAAGCTACACAAGCCTGTGGGCAATTTGTCTGCAGCAGCCCATACTTAGCCTGCTGGGACTGTGGGGTAAGGAATGAGATGGGCTGGAATGGTTAGTGCGGTTACCGCCACAGGACCCACTGAGGGCAGAACAAGAGGAAATGGGCAGAAAGAGCAGGAGGTATCTGGGTTTGACAGAGTGAATCCTTCCCTCTATTAGGGCAGGAGGAGCTGTCTCAGCTGATGGGGGAGCTAAAGAAATGGAAGTGCCAACTAACCTCCTCTAGGAGGGCTTCCCTGGATCTCACAGACTTCTGGGGACATGCTCCTGGTCCCACCCAGCACGTGCTGCTGTCGTTACCACAGCCCTTAGCACTGACTCATACAGCGCCTTGTGTTGTTCTCCACGAAACTGTCAAGTCAGGGAGGTTCATCTTCATTCTCTGCAAAGAGTACTGGATGCCAGCAATTTCCCACCAACCTTCAATAAGTAGCTGAGAGCTGCTATATGCCAGGCACTGGGATGTGTCCATGGATAAAACAGACACAAATCCCTGCCCTTGTGGAGGTTACATGCTAGCCATTATAAACAAGTTATACAGATTTTTAGAAGGTGATCAGATCTATGGGGGAAAATTAAGTAGGATAACTGTGTGTATGTACACAGTAATTCAATAAAAACGATTTTTTAAAATAGAGCCATGAAGGGTTACAGAGAATGCCCAGAGTGAGGAGTCAAAGGTGGGAGGAAAAATTGCAGTTCTAAATCAGACAATAAGGGTAGGTGTCATTGAAAAAGTGACACGTGGCCAGGGGGCAGTGGCTCACATCTGTAATTCCAGCACTTTGGGAGGCTAAAGCGGGTGGGTAACTTGAGGTCAGGAGTTCGAGATCAGCCTGGCCAACATGGTGAAACTCCGTCTCGACTAAAAAATACAAATAGTAGCCGGGCCTGGTGGCGGGTGCCTGTAATCCCAGCTACATGGGAGGCTGAGGCATAAGAGTCACTTGAACCCAGGAGGCGGAGATTGCAGTGAGCCAAGGTCGCACCACTGCACTCCAGCCTGGGAGACAGAGCGAGACTCCCTCTAAAAAAAAAAAAAAAAAGAAGAAAGAAAAGGAAAGAAAGAAAGGAAGGAAGGAAGGAAGGAAGGAAGGAAGGAAGGAAGGAAGGAAGGAAGGAAGGAGGAAAGAGAAAGAAAGAAAGAAAGAAAGAAAGAAAGAAAGAAAGAAAGAAAGAAAGAAGGAAGGAAGGAAGGAAGGAAGGAAGGAAGGAAGGAAGGAAGGAAGGAAAGAAAGAGAAAGAAAGAAAGAAAGAAAGAAAGAAAGAAAGAAAGAAAGAAAGAAAGAAAGAAAGAAAGAAAGAAAGAAAAGAAAGAGAAAAGTGACATGTGAACAAAACTCAAAATGAGTTGTGCTGGTAACTGAGGAATGTTCCACCGCAAGGACCTGGAGGATGGAAAGAGTGGCTTCTGCCCCACCCGTCCAGCTCTGCAGCTCCGCGAACTTTGCAGGTCCCTAAGCTGTGGCTTGGCCTTGAGCCTCTCTGAGCTTCAAATGCTTTCGCTGCTTCCCTTTTGCCTTTGGGTGGTGTCCCAAGGAGGCGATAAACCACTGTTGAACCTCAGGGTCCTGTACTACAAAGGATTGTTTCCTAGGTACTTAATCAAGCTGAGCCTCAGTTTACAAATCTATAAAATGGGGATAATTATTTCACTTCCTTATGGAGTCGTTGGAGATCAAAAATCCAAAAGAAAAGAAAGACTCACAAGGGGGAACTGGCAGTCTCTGAACTGAGCTGAGAGGCTCTTCATAGGGCTTTAATTTAGGAACTGGGCTAAAGGTTAATACTGATTCGCTATCTCATTCTCACAACAGCGCTATAACAAAGATGCTCTTAAATCACTGTTTTTACTAATTGGGGAATTGACGCATACAAACACTGAGGGCTCTGAGCTGCTGGGTGCTAGAGCAAGACCATGAATCCAGATCTGTAGGAATCTAGGGTTGCAGCCTACACACCACACAACCTCTTTTGAATCTCTCAAGCCAAATTTTCTTTGGTGGTGTGAGCAGGAAGAGCCAGGTTCTAAAACCTAAACTAGACACCGCTCTTCTCACATTTCCTCCCAATCAGCCCTAATCTCTGTGGCCTCCTTTGCTGGGATACAACCCAGCGGTTTTCTCTGCTGCATTCTTAAAAGAGAACGATACCCCCCAAAGCCGAGGACCTGATTAATTTGGGCGACTGTGGGAGGGAGAGAAGGGGAGGCATTCTTAGAACTGGGGCCTAGGCTGGGGATGGCGGGCTCCACTTTCGGCACATTCTAGAGACCATGGGCATGGGGGTTTTGAGAGAAACCTGTGACTCACCTCGCCTCTCATGGTCTGTTTCACTCGGAGGCTCACTGTCTTCCCATCATCCTCCCTCAGCCCCCACCGCCAACACTACCCGGCTGCCAGCACCCCTCAGTGACCCACCCACCTACTCCTGCTACCTCCCAGCAAGCCTACAGCTCAGCAGGGCAGGGGCTCCTCTCTGCGGGGCTAAAGAGCTACAAATCCACTGAGTCTGAACGTCCCTGCAGCAGACCCCTGTAGCAGCCTCCCTTCTCAGCAAAAGCCACACGGCGTTAATCACCTTTATCCCAAAAAGAGGAGTCCGGGGCCAGCCTAGGGAGTTAAGAGTAACAACTGCCACTCTTATATAAAGGGCACATGTGAGGGGATAGAGAACTCGGGAGATAGAGCAGGGAAGGGGCAGGAAAGCAGGTTTCTTGACTTCTAAATGCAGTCTCCTAAGTTAAATTAACCTGCTCACACTGGTACAATGATGGCTACAGTACCCACTGTATAATGCATGAGAATATATGATAATAATGAGTGCTAACTATGTGCCAGGCTGAGGCTTTTCCATAATCGTTTATATAACTATGCTAAGTCTTTCATATGATTTTTTTACCTGATTTTTCATTTAGTCCTCACCACCTTCTAAGGTTGGTGATAATATTGTAGTCTAGATTTTCCAAGAAGCAGATGCCAAAACAGGATTACACATACAAGGGTTCAGTTAGGGGAAATTTCTTTATGAGAGAAAATAGGGAGTGTGAAGCGAGGCTGGGGAACCACCGGTGTGTGACCCCACTAAGGAAAGAGGGAGAGGAGGATGTGCACAAGGGCCCCAGGCACAAGTGTCTATGAAGTTGCCAGGGGCAAAGCTGGCCATCCTTCGAGTCCTGGTTCTCCCAGGAACGGGTGCGTCTTCACATCCCTGTTGTACTGTCATTGACTGGGAGCACGAGAAAGGAAGTGTGGCCTCCACACAAATGAGACAATGAATTTCAGAGTGCCATAGCTGGGGCCCTTGGACAAATAAGCTCCCCATAATAGGAGGTCTCTGGGGCACATGTTCATGGGTGCCTCAATAATAATTCCCATTTTACCGGTTGACAAGCTGAGGCTCAGAGAGGACAAGTCATCTGCTCATAGTTGGGACCCAGCTTAGAGTAACTCCAAAGATTTATCTTTGTGCCATATGCAACTGAGCTACTGACCACCACATCCCAAGCCATCCCCAAGACTGATGCCTCAGATTCGGTACCCAGCAGAGGGCTGGGCACACAATCAGTGTCACATTGGGAGGCAATGTGGCTGAGCTCCTGTCTAGTGAGCTCCTGTATAGTGGGTCCTGCATGTGTCCTGTGTGCCCCACAACACCTACAACCCGGAGTCAAAGCCGCCTCCTCCTCCCTGCTATTCCTAACCAGAGGCGTGCCTCCTCTGTAACTTCCCACAGCACTCTGGGCCTCTCTTACAGCACCCACCAGAGTCAGCCTTATGTCACTTATGTTATGTGCACACTTGTCATCCCCCACAGGCATTTGCATGCCAGTCAGAGAAGCAGGTAGCCCGGTCAAGATCAAACACCAGGAGGCCAAACAAGGCTGAACCTCAGATTTTTGTCTTTGAGCCATTCTGCCTACATGCCCAAAATGTATGCAAATAACCATAATTGAGTGAGCAGGGCCACTGATATGGGGAGATGTTGAAGGAATCCCCTAAACCCCTCTACAGCTGACTTTTCCACTCGCCCACAATGTGGCCAAGGGTCTACATCTATCAGTTTTGGGAAGTGCTATAAATGCCCTTTTACTCTCGGCTGACTGACTCTACCCCCAGATTTGCTGCTGACAGCAAACCCTTTCGTAAAGCTCTCACTTGGAAAGCAATATGCAAAGTGCATTCATTCATAAATCGATACTGTCTTTTTGGCAGTCCCTATCAAAAACTAAAATGTGTATACCCTTAGATCTTGCCATTCCACTACTAGGGATCTATACTACAGAAATCCTTACACACACACTCGAAGATACTGTACAAGATATTTGTGAGATCTATATAAATAGTAGAAAAAGGGGGGGAGGGTAGTCCTTCAGTGCAAATGAGGTTAAAAGACAAATAAAAAAGAAAGGAGGTGAGAAATATCCATCCACAGCAGATAAATTGTGGTACATCATACTATAAAATACTCTGCAACTATTTAGAAAAAGAATGATAGTTCTATGAGTTTGATCATGGAAATTCACAAGATATGCTAAGTGAAAAAAGCAAGCTGTATGTTGTTTCATGGGTATGAAAAAGTCTGTCAGTTGCACAACAATGTGAACATACTAGTGAAGTTTACAGTTAAAAATGTTTAAGATGGTAAATTTTCAGTTAAGTGTATTTTATCACAATTTTTTAAAAGCAGGTTGCAGAACAATATGCCTAATGATTCCATTTGTACTTGTTATAACTGCCAAAGAAACTTCTCAGTTGTGCTTATAAGTATATTTGTATCTAGATAAATTTTCAGAAACTTTTTGGATAAAAATTTCAAAAAAAATAAAGCTGTTCAATGAAGTTTTTTCTGGAGAGGGAATTGGCATCACTGAGGTGGAGACGTTATAAAGAGAAAGGTTCACGCCTCACTCTGTATGTCTATATATGTACATATAATGTCTTGTTTGAGTTACTAAAATTACTTGTGTTAATTTTCCTTTAGATGCTTTCATCCATCCAACAGATACTAAGCACCTACCCTGAGTCAGCTGTCATTTTCAGAGCCTGAAATAAGCCGATCAGACTGAATTTCTCGTCTACCCTTTCTCTTCCTTGCACACTGGCTCAAAGAATGCCTGGCTGTCATCCTTCCCCTCCTGCCCTCGACCCTCCTGTGGGTGGGTAGGGCTAGAGTCTCACTATGAGGACCATTTCCTTAGAATAGGTTTGTGACCAGAAAAGGAGACAGCTGAGTGCCAGAAAACCAAAGGCCCCTCTAGGTCTTACTACAAATACCAGGTCTCTCTGCACCACAGACTCCAGCTAACCAAGGTCTCTGTCTTAGACTTAGATGAGATCGTGGTTTCTTTCAAAAGTAAACCTTTGACTGGTGAATTCAGAACCACATGTCTCCAGATCAGAAGGTAAGGGCTAGGAGAACTCAGCTCATTCTGAAACTTGAGGCCTTATTACCCCAAGAGGCAGTAGCTGTTTGAGGAACAAGAGACCCACAGCTGCCTGGACAGAGGAAGGAGCAAGATCACGTTTCACACACTCGGACAGCAGTAGTCAGAGCTAGTAACTGCCCGGGGCTAGGACCAGAGCCACCCAGACAGGATGCTCATTTGCATAACTTGTACAGATACTTTGCATATCAGGGTCCTGGAAACACTACTACCCTAGGATCAGAGAGGTTGAGACTAGTATTTGGTCACACAGGACCTCAGAGACAAAACCAAAACCAAGGGGTGGGGGAGGACTTAGGAAGGGAGGACTCATGAAGGGGGAAAGTGGAAAGTCAGTCCTGGTATTTCACTTGCAAATCCTGGCAGGGGTGTGGGATGGCAGTAGGAAACTTTACTGTCCCTGAGAGCAAGAAAGTTATGCAAACAAATGCATTTGCATGGCAGCCCTGGTCCCTAAAAATGACTTATCAAACACAGGTTCCACCACCTTGGCAGCCCCACCTGAAATCCTGCAGGCTTGACAGCCAAAAGACTTCCTGGCCAGAGGCTCTGGGCAGTAACTTACCTTCCAAGCAATTATGACTCCCTCTAGAGGAGACAAGTAAATTCCAAGGTAATTCTGGGTTCCAGATGGTGGTGTGTTAAAAATGGAAAGGGTGGACGCCAAGTATATTGACATTTTTGTGTGTGAGTGCCAGGGAGGCTCCCAAGGGCTCCACTTTTAAACTGAGTGGAGTAAGAACCATGAGGACAAAGGGATGAGAAAGGCCTTTTAGTGGCAGAGGGAAGAGGGGCAAGGAAGCCCCTAACAATTGCTCATCCTGCTCTTCCAGGAGGGCTCTCAATTTCATGTAATGTCATCATTTTCCATGATGATTCAGAAAGTGCCTAACTACAAAAGATCTAAGTTTAAGGTGTACCACTGTAACACTTTTTAAAAAATTAATGAATTGAGTGAAACGTGGCAAAAGCCCCATCAGCCCACATCCCCAAATTTTGTTTTTCAGGGAGCAAACATCATTTATGAGGCAAATCCAAGTTGGAGGGGCTGGAAAGGGAAAATGGACAGAAAACACCAAGGGCACCCCACAGAGAGGAGTAAATCAGATTTCCATGAGCAGAACCCATGAGGGGTCAAAGGTCAAGCTAACGAGATGAGCAGACAGACAGCAGTTCAGACCACAAGACAGGAGGGGTGAACCTGTTGGAGAAGGAAGGATCTAGCTCTTGCAGAGAGAAGTGAGAGCAGAAATGCAATGGGGAAATCTCCATCATGCTATTCCATTTTCTGCCATCAAAACTGTCAGTCAGGTGCCAGCTTGAAGGGCTGCTAGGAAGCTCTCCTGGGTCTCTAACAGAATAGCTCCACCTTATGCACTCCAACCACCTCTGCTCCTGTTCTGGAGAGCATCAGTTCTTCTGTTACAGCGATGCCCGCCACTTCTCTATGCTGAGCTCCACAAAGGCTAGACCCACTTCTGGACTCATCTGTGTGTCTCCGAAGTCCTAAGCACTGGGCATGACACAGAGGAGGTGCTCAAGATGAGCTGAATGTTGAAAATGTGACATTTTTACTCTTGGATAGTGGCTGAAGGTCTTCTTTTTAAAGAGCAGCCTAGGCTGAAAAGGCCAAGGCACTGACCTGTCTGAATGGTGGCCCAGAGCCCAGGGGGCAGTCCTATCTTTCCACACGAGTTGCACTTCCCCCACCTTTCCAAGTCTTGGCACAGCCTCATTTAATCTTCACATGCCTGGGTGGGGGAGGACTGAAATCCTCCCCAACAAGGCATAGATGTGAGATCTTCGTCCAGAGGACGAGGATCCAGGGTGTGGTTTATTTTGTCATTTTGGTTTTTTCACCTCACTCATGCTCATCTGAAAACCTCTGGGGCCCTAAGAGGCTGCCCTATGCCACCTGGGCTTGAATGACACATTGTTCTCAGTCTGGAACAGCCCCTAATGTGTCCAGGCCTGTGGGTACAGGGAAAGGGAAGACAAAGCCACTTGCTGCTGCACACAGGCATTTTGTATCTCCCCAACTAGGTTCTCAAGGGCAGGAACTGTGCCCTACACTTCATTTGTTTCTCCCAAAGCACAGGACATACACCAAGTGCCTGGATTATCTAGTGGTCGAGTATGCTGGGGAGCCACACTGTTCTGACTGAGTGCAGGGAGACGACAGGAAGATGAAGTGAGCAAAAGGACCCAGGGGCGGCTGGAGCCCCTAAATGTAGGCTTCCAGAGACAGAGCCCGAAAGGAGCTGCATTCTCAGGGCTGAGGATGCGGTGGCTGCCCCTCAAAGCCTCCCCTGTCCCCACTCTGCCCCACCTGGGGAGTGCCCAGAGGGTTTGTTTATATTCACCAGTAAGTGGGCCAGCCACTTTCCCCAGCCTCACCACCCTCACCCTCCTCCCTTGAATAACTGAATTTCCTTCACACCCTGAGCAGGCCCGACCTACCCGACCTACCTGCTACCCACTCTACCCACTCGTCACTCACAGCCTCCTGCATTTCCTGTCTCCAACCCAGTCAAAGGAAAACCCCAAATTTACTGTTATTGTTTACCAACCCAACTGCCTGCTCACCCCAAGGCACAGAGACCCGCCGTGAAGCTCAGGGCAGGAGCGTGGACCAGGCCTAGGCCACTGACTCGACTCCAAGCCTGGGGCTCCCTGTGCTCCCACTGCTGAGCAGCGCACTGAGGGGTGGGACCCTCCTGGTGATAAAGGCCACCTGGCAGCTGGCATTTTAGGAAGCATTTAAATCCACCATCTAGGCTGGGCACAGTGGCTCATGCCTGTAAGCCCAGCACTTTTTGGGAGGCTGAGGTGGCCGGATCACTGGAGATCAGGAGTTCGAGACCAGCCTGGCCAACATGGTAAAACCTCATCTCTTCTAAAAATACAAAAATTAGCTGGGCATGGTGGTATGTGCCTGTAATTCCAGCTACTCAGGAGGCCGAGGCAGGGGAATTCCTTGAACCTGGGAGGCGGAGGTTGCAGTGAGCCAAGATCACACAACTGCACTCCAGCATGGGTGATGGAGTAAGACTCTGTCTCAGATAAATAAATAAATCCACCATCTCACTGAATCCTTAAAACAGCCACAGGCCTAGGACTATCACCCTCATTCTATAGCAAAGAAAACTAGACCTTCCTCAGTGGAGTGGAATCCAGCCTCATATCTCCTCTCCTCCCCGCCCCCTCTGCACTCCCTTACCAAGACGATGTCCATGGGCTTTCTTAAAGAAGCTCTAAACTTGGAAACAGGAGATCCAGGTCAGAATCCCTGACTAGCTGTGTGATGCTGGGCGAGTCCCTTTACTCCTCTGAGTTGGAGTTTCTTACAGGTAAGCTGGAAACGAGACTGACTACCTCAGAGGGTTCTGATAATGAAGAGATGGAGGGGAAGAGCCCAGCATCGGTACTTGGTAGGGGCCCAGGAGTGTCTCTATGCTCCTCTTTACATCTCACACTACTTAAGGGTGTTCAAGAAGCACACCTGCTCCTGAACCCATGCAAGCCAGCATCTGCCTTTAGGGACAAAAGTTTCCATTGCCATCCCACCCAGGCATTTAGCAGAGGTGTTAAGCTCTCCCTAGAGACAGGGACTCGCAGGGCCATGCCAGCATGGAAGGTCAGGGACATGGGCATGGGGGTGAAAAGCTGTGGCAAGACCCCACTAACCATGCCAGACCCCTCCTGGCCCTTCGCCCCAGCCATTTTCCCTGAAAGCCAACCCCAGCCTGAATCCTTGCTGACCACAAAAGCATCCTCCTGAAATGGGCTGAGTCAGGGAAGGAAGCAAAACACAAGGGCCAACGTTGGGCATGAGGCCAAGAAGGCTGTGCAACGGGCCTCTGTGGCAGAATCCTGGCCCCCAGTGATGCCCATGTCTTGGTCCCCAGACTGTGGCTATGTTCCCTTACATGGCAAAGGGGACTTTGCAGATGGGATTACGGTTAAGGGCCCTGCAATGAGGAGATTATCCTGGATTATCTGAGTGGGCTCAATCTTATCACACCAGCTGGGTCAGAGAAGTGACCACAGAAGGATCAGAAAAATGCAAGGTTGCGGTTGAAGATGGAGAAAGGGGGTCATGACCCAAGGAATGCAGGAAGCCCCTAGAATTGATAAAGGCAAGGAAACACCCTCCAAAGAGGAATGCAGCCCTGCTGAGACCTGGACTCCAGCCAGCCTAGTGAGACCCTATCACACTCCTGACCTACAGAACAGGAATATCATAAATTTGTGTTGTTTTAAGCCATAAAATTAATATGGCAGAAGCTTTGTTAACAGGAAACTAATAACAGCTTCTAAAGATAGCAGAACTCTGACAACTTCCTCTCCTTCTCTCCCTGACTCCCTCCTAGCACCCCTTATTCCTCCTTCTTGGGTTATTGCTTCTAACACCTTCATAAGTGCAGACAAAATAAGTGGATTTCTCTGAAAGCAAACCCCCATGCTGGTTTGTTTTGAGCTGTGATTTTAGAGTGATGAGTAGTGTCTCAAGGCGAGAACCAACCTCAGCAACCCACTGTCATGAAGGGGAGGTCCAGGGCCTGCTGTTCCCAGGAGCTGAGGGTGGAGACATGGTCCTTCTGGCAGCAAAGGGGACAAGCAGGTCTCTCCTCCAGCGGGGAGAGGGATCTGAGTTCCAATCCCACCATGCAACTGTGGCACATCATCCCACCTTCTCAGTCACTTTCCTCACACATAAAACAGCAATCAGCAGCCGCCCTGTACTGTCTCTTGCTGGCAGCTCTGAGGGTCACATAAGAAAATGCGGGTGACACAGTGAAGGATGTGCTATTTTCCCATCTGACCCGGAGGGACTGCAATGGGGCAGGTAGCCCAGTTTCTACTTTAGGCTCTGCTGCGGGTCAAGTCATCATGTGGCCCCAGCTCTGGGCTTCAGTCTTCTCATCTGTGCACTGAGAATGGGCCACAGGAACCATGAAGTCTCTTCTAGCTCCGAGGTAGAGCCTTTGGTTTCTGCCTGACCCCTATCACCGCCTCCTGGAGAGTGCCGGTACTACACTAACCTGCTCCCCTGGTATCTTTACCAGGATTTCAACCAAATTCACCAGCACCCCCTCTTCCCTGGACCCTATACCAGCTGGCTTTCGCAGGCTAAAGGTGCCAGCACCTGGTGGTGGCTATGTAGGTCAAAGAATCATATGCCAAAAAGAGCTTGGCTCCTGATTCTGCATTTGGCAAAAGAAGATGGGCTTGAGCCCTTGCAGCCTCCCTGTCCTGCTTTAAGGATGCCCTACACACATCCTGCCCAGGTCCTCACCAATGAGGTGCTGGCTCCTGCTCGCCCAGGAGGCCCTCCGCTCCTCTCCCAGGACCCCCAACCCACACCCTCACCACCCAACAAAACCCCTCTGCACATAGAGGCGGTGGGGGGTAAGGCCTGAGCCCCAGGAAGAAAGAGAAAGAAAAACTCTCAACTATTAAATCTGTTTAGTAAAGACAATTTCGCTCATACAAAACAACAGTTTACAACAATCGAGTGCTGGACACACCATCTGAGACAAGGGAGGCGCTGCAGGCACCCAGCGCCTTCCCCCATACACAAAGACGACCCTGGGCGCCCCTCCACCACCTGCCCCTGAGGGAGAGGAAAGGTGAAGTATTCCTGCCACCTCTCCCTCCAAGGGAAGGGGGAGTGGGGGGCCATGGCACAGACAGCCTACCCCAGCTGCTCCTCATCTGTGCTGGGGGAGGCCCCTCCCCTCACCGGCCCCGAAGCTGAGTTGTTTGGGGTGATGGCAAATGGCTGATGGGCAAGGGGGCAAAGTCAGGACATCTTTGGTGCAAAGACTCCCCCTGACCCACCAGGCCACACAATGGAAATCTGAGGGAAGACTTCAAAAGTGGCCCTGCCTTTGCCCACAAGGGGTAGCTGGCTGATGCCCCAGAACCCAGGACAAACACAGGAAATGCAAAAGCTCTGCCAACAGAAGCTGCCCAGGCTCACCTACATGAGCTGGGCGGTGGCCCATGGAGAAATGGCTAAAAATTTAAGGAAAATAAACAAAAATGGGTTAATAATGGCAAGAAGGGGAAGTAGAGAGGTCATTCAGTAGATGAGTGCCTCAGAGGACCTAGGACCAGCACTAAGTGGGGGGAGGGGGGCCCTGGGGGCTGGGGGTCCAGTCTTCCTGATCGCAGTGCCAGTGCCCGGTCACTCCTCTCTGCCTCCCGGAACCCAGCTAATAGAGACAGGCCACAGAGGGCCTGTTTCAGAATCTGGGTGGGCTTCCCAGGCACTTTGGCAGGCTCAGTATGGGCAGGGCAGACCCAAGAAGGGAGAAGGTTCCTAAGCCCCAGCAGGGCCGTCTCCCTCTGCAGCCCTGCCTGCCCCTGGCCCCTCAAATGCACGATCCCAGGCACAGATCTGCGCACTCATACACACGTGTGCACACACACACACACACACACACACATACACTCACTCCTATTTGTCTGGCACACTGGAGATGTCTGAGGGCTCCGAGAGAGGAAGTGCGTGGCATCCTCCTCCAAGGTGGCCTTGAGCTCCCAGAACGCGTGAGCCAGCGGGGACAACCCCAGGCTGTTGTGGAGAAACAGGGAGGGCAGATGGGACAACACAGGGACAATCCCTATGACAGTTTCCACAAATACCCTCTAACAAACCACAAGCCTTTGCAGTATCCAGAGAGGAAGGCGTCTGGTGGAGAGGAGTGGGGCAAGGACAACAAAAGAGGTTTCGTAAAAACTCTAAGTCAAATTACTGATAAAATTGCAAAATGAGCACAGGTTCAAGAGCACCTTGCTCACTTCTCTCCACAGCCTCCCAACCTCCCAGCCTCTCCCACTCTGGGGTGGCCAGAACCAAGGCAGAATTCAGTCACTGATGCAGTTCCAGGCTCCATGCAGCTGAGGAGGAGAGGAGGCAGATGTGGACAGTTCTGTCTCTTCGTTTAAAAAATATATTCCTGTAGAGAGTTATTGCTTGTCCTCCCGTGGGCAGGAGGGCGCGGTGGCTCAGTGGGCCAGAGCCGCAGCCTCCAGGGCCCGAGCTTTCTTCCGCCTCTTCAGCAGCAGAGGGTTGGATGCATCTTCAATCTTTTTTATCTTGATCTGCTCGTAGTCAACGCGCATTGTGGCCAAGGCACTGGTCATCTCCTCCTGGGGGCACGGCAGCACCAGGAAGGGTACAGAGAGAGCCAGAAGACAGGTAGGAGAGACAGCAGAAGAGAGACGTGAGAGACAGAGACAACAAGGGCAGGGTGAGGGCGGCAGGGGTGGGAGCAGAGAGAGAAGACGGGCTGGTTAGTGGTCCACGCTGACAACGGCAGCCTCACCCCAGCGCTGGGCAGCAGAGAGCCTGGCTATGGCACTGCTGCTGTTCCCTGAGAGCCCCCCAGTGATCCCGCAGGATAGGAGGAAGAGACTTGGGCCAGGAGTCAGGAAACCTGGGTCCGGTCTGCCCCAACCAGTCACCAGCTGCGTGACCTTGAGCAGACTGCCCTCCGCCTCTGGGCCTCAGTTTCTCTTCTGCAAAATGAGAAGATGATACCAGATGGTCTTTAAGGTCCCATTAGAGACCCAGGGAATAAAAGGATTCTAAGAAACAGCACTGAGTTTGGACAGGAACACAGAATCCTCTGCTCACAACCTGGTCAGCCAAGTGGCCTGGTCGCTGTTCTTGTCATGAAGACACCCCTGGGATGAGAGAGGCAGAATCAAGCTCTCCCCTACCAGCACCACGCCTCACACCTGGGCACTCCCCGCAAGCCGCCCACCCCACCTGGAGCCCCTCTCACCCAGTGGTGCCCCTCACCTTGACATCCTCCCACCGCTCCTTGTCCTCCTTCAGGACCCGGCTGGTGTGCAGTGGGGTTTGAGGGACCTTTGTTGATTGCTGAGAAGAGAGAAAAGGGGTCCGAGTGAAAGCCTGGGGTAGGGTCCTGGCTAAGACTCTGTCCTGTGGAATAGTCCCGTGAGACCCAAGGCTCCCCAGCCTGCCGAGCTTACCATGATCCAAGGGTGGTTCATAAACTCGGTGATGGTCATTCTCTGGGTGGGCTCTGTTTTCAGCAGATTCCGAATGAGCATCTTCACTGTGGGGTGGGACAGGGGGCAGTGACAGCTCAGGGGTCACTCTCCCTGGCCTGCTCCTTTCCCCAGTTTTCATGGGGAAACCAGGTTCAAAGAGGGGGTGCATGGAGGCAGGCTGCCGGAGCAACTGGCCCCAAGGACCATTACGGCTGTACCACTTGAGAGGCCCTGCACAGCCCCACAGCCTTGGCCCTGCCTCCAGCCCTCCACACAGGCAAAATGAAGCAGGACGCACCCCGCAGGCGTGGGCATAGGTGCTAACCCACAGTTACACCACGCACATGAGATGGAGGCCCATACATGTGTCTGCGTGTACACACATACACACACACACACACACACGGGCTCTTCCCCTTGTCCTGAAAGCCTGGGTTCTTACCTTCCTCTGATACTTCTGACCATTCTGGGTTGGGAAATTCATACTGGCCCATTCGGATGCGAGTCTTCATGCCCGGAGAGATGGCAAGGCCGTGGTTGGAGTAGAAGGGGGGATACCCACACAGCCTGCATCAACAGGAGGAAGGAAGTGGGAGACAGAACAGCTGTCACTTAGTGGCCCTGTACCAGGAACAGGATGAGAAACAGGCTCTTCTCCTTGTAAAGGTCACAGAGAAATCAGGGCTTATTGACACAGGCACAATATACAAAGTCAAGCCCGGGGCCCGGGAATCCAGCATAGCAAGTATCTAAGGCGCACACTTTCCAGCCCATGAGCTGGTTTACACCCGCCACTTAGCTATCGGAACTGAGAGAAGGGGCACGCAGGGGACTCCCCTGTACAAAGGGGAATGCTAACGTCTGCCTCTTCCTCTTGTCCTGGAGAAGTACAGGCCGCCCTGACTCCCTGCCCCACCCAGCCCCCTCCCCAGCACACTCACAGGATGTACATGATGACACCCAGGGACCACATGTCACAGGACTTGTCATACTTCTCTGGACCCAGCACTTCTGGAGCTGCAAATCAAAGGTCAACATGGGTGGGCCGGCCCTCAGAACCCTGTGATCCACTCAGTTTCTCTGTGAAAGATGCTCCCCATCCCAACCTTTCAGCCTATCATGAGGTGGCAGCAGTTGGGGCACAGAAGGAAGAGCCAAAGCCCAGCCCAGGGACTGGAACAGAACATCCTCCTCCATGAGGAACCTGGAACTAGGAGCTTAAGATTCTAAAAATCCTGAACTGCATGAGACTTTCAGGCCCATGCCGTTCATTTAATTTCACAGATGCTCTGAACATGCTTTGAAAGCTTCTTCCATGCCAATCAGCTGTGGCTCCAGAACAAGACCTGGGTCCAGACTCCATGGAGAATCTGATGGAAACCATGGCTCTTCTCAGAAAGATCCCAGCAGATCCTTTCCTACAATTTCTCAACTGTAGCTTCGCTCTGACAAGCCCTACTTCTCAGCAGGTCCCAGCAGAACCAGCACCAGAAGGGGCCATACAGACACAACTCTCCTAGGATTTGCGGCCCCCCAGATAGCCAAGAGGAGGGGCTGAGAAAAGTTCTGGGAAAAGCCTAGGTCCCTGGGCCCCCTGTGGACTTACCCACATAGTACGGTGTATAACAAGGAGTGGTCAAAGAGTTGTGGCTGGTGGTTTCCTTGGCAAAGCCAAAGTCAGTGAGTTTCAGGATGGCGTTGGGCCTTTTGGAGGTGTATAAGAGATTCTCAGGCTACAGAAAGAGAGACAGAAAAATAGCAACCCTGCTGGACCTGGGAGGGGCTATCAGAAACGAAAAGGATCCTGGTTCCTCCCTTCCTCTACTCATCCAGCAACCATTTGCCTATCCTGGGCACTGCCCACCACGAGGAGTGGCAGCTCTCTATGGGCAGGTGCCTGCCTCTGCAGGGTTTCCAGAGTGCCTGGAGATAACAGACTGACACACAGAACCCGCAGTAAACACCACAGGAACAGAGAAACCAAGAGTGTGACTGAGGGGTTCTGCCTGAGGAGAACCACAGGGCTGAGTGGGGCCAGAGAATGCTTCACTACTGGGTTTAGGGGTTTGCCCATGGGCAGAGAGGGCAAGGCCCTACAAGGCAGAGAATGGCATGCTCAGGAACCAGGCAGCAAGGACGCAGGGTGGCCTGGCAACCATCTCTGGGGTGGCCACAGCCCCTTTGTTGCCCCCCACAGCACTCGGGCTCAGGGTTATGAACAGCTGGCACCTTGACATCCCGATGGGCAATGTTGATTGAATGCAGATACTGGATGGCCTCACCGATGCTCTTCATGATTTCGGATGCTTCTGTAGAGGGGAGGGAAGAGTGAGTGGGAAAGAAAGTCACAAAGACACATCATTAGGCTTGAAAACCCAGTGCACCGGGTCCCACCTCTGTGCAGCCTGAGGCTCCCCACAGCCACCACCCACCCCAGAAACAAAGCCACCAGGAGCTTCCCTGGTCAGCTGAGGCACCCCTTGCAGCATGCTGGAGGGGGCAGCAGCCTCAGCACCCTTCCCCAAGAGCAGGCACTGCAAAGGCCCCCTTCAGACCCCCACTGCCCTGCCTGCCTGCACGTGCTCCCACAACAGACCCTTTCTACCTCTTTCTGTGAATGCCTGGTCTCCTCGATCCTGGATTCGGCTAAAGAGTTCTCCACCGTCCAAACTGAAATGAAGCCACAGTGAGATCCAGAGAACACAACAGCCCGCCGCCACTCTCCACTGCCCCCCAAAAAATCAAGTGTTTACATTCCAGGCTTCAGGCCCATCCCTGGGCTGTCCTCAGAGGGTAAGGTGCCTGAGTGAGGAGTGGGAACAGGCTGGGCCGGGACTAGAACAGTGGCTGCTTACCATTCCATGACAATCAGCAGGCACTTCCTCCCTGCGTACAGATTCTCGTACACATCCACGATCCGTACGATGTGCGGGCACTGGGAGGCCCGCCAGTGCAGCTCCACCTCCCTGCGGGCCTTGGGGCAGTCCTGAAGCATCTGCAGGCCAAACAGCTTTCTGAGTAACTGCGCTGTCACATGGGCCTGCTCTAAGCCCCTGGCCCACATGCCCTGACATCGCCACCGACATACCACAAACCCCCCACTCCTGCTGGCCCCCCCCACCAGCCCCCTTGGCACATTTCCTGAGGCCTCTGCAGTTCCTTATCTGCTCTATATGAAATCTCATGATGACTCTCTTGGGGCCTTGACAGCTACACTGAGATCAGCCCTCAGGCCATTCGGTCCAGCTTAGACCTGTCTCCAGCTTAGGCCATAAAGTCTACTGTGGAAGGCAGGCAGCACTCAGGTACTGGGAAGCAGGGGGTGAAGGGGCTTCGGGGAGAAAGGCAGACTGAGAAAAACCAATACAGTATTGGAAAGGGGGCTAGAGAGAAGAGAGACTCCAGAGTCCATAGGAAAAGGCCCCTCAGCAATTACTCAGACCCAGCACAACAAATCCAGAGCAATATTCTCTCTACCTCTGTAGTTGACTTCAACCTGGCAACAGATGGCCTTGGAAGTCAGCCGGATGCCAGTATGAATCCAGTTATTACTAGATTTCCAAGCTTGAGCAAGTTACTTAACTCGTCGAACCTCACTGATGCCCCTTCTTCTCCCTGGACCAATTGGCTAGGGGTATTAAAGGAGGCTGGCTTCTCACCAGCCTCAGGGGTTCAATCTTGACCTGTCTAAGCCAGTCTCATTAATTCCAGTCCCTTTGCTAGTGACTGGCTTGGGAACAAGCCTACAACTCAACTGGCCAAGAGCCTTGTAAGAAATCTGCTGCCGGGCACGGTGGCTCGTGCCTGTAATCCCAGCACTTTGGGAGGCCGAGGCAGGCAGATCACGAGGTCAGGAGATCAAGACCATCCTGGCTAACACGGTGAAACCCCGTCCCTACTAACAATACAAAAAAAATTAGCCAGGCATGGTGGCAGGCGACTGTAGCCCCAGCTACTCAGGAGGCTGAGGCAGGAGAATGGCGTGAACCCTGAGAGGTGGAGCTTGCAGCGAGCCGAGATCACGCCACTGCACTCCAGCCTGGGCAACAGAGCGAGACTCCATCTCAAAAAAAAAAGAAATCTGCTAAGAGGCTTCTTAAAGGGAGCACAAGAAATGTACATCATCTCTCCTGCATATGGCACCTGGGACCATGACAGTCACATTATTACCAGTAAGGGGGGCCTAAGAGGATAAACCAATGCACTGAGGAAGGCAACCAGGAGAAATGGCAATCACCTGGATCCTCGCTGCCATCACCAGGGATCCCTCAGTACTTCTTTTTGACAAGATAATAAACTCTTCTTACTGTTTAAGCTGCTTTTCATGAAATTGTCTATTGCTTGGAGCCAAAAGCATCCTGATCTACCCTTCCTTTGTAAAGTGGGGATGGATAATGGCTTCTGTTTCACAGATTTGTTGTGAGGATTAAATGAAATATTTCCACAAAGCACCTCACAGAGTATCTGACATGCACTCACTAATAGCTGTCATTTTTATCACCAATTGTCTAAGTGCAAGCGCAGGTGCCAAAATAATTAAGACAAGGACACTCACAGATTTAGCATCTTCATGGGAAGTCAAGATGAGCCCTACACAGTCCACACTCCAACTGCTTTGGACATTCAGAGGGCTGGGGTGTCCAAGAGACATGCTGGGAAGGAAATGGACAGGCAGAGGGAAGGCATGAAGGCAGAGGGAAACGTGGGAAGCAGGTGCTGACTGACCGAGATGGAGTGGAGCTGGGGTGATACAGCAGGGAGGCCTAAGAACCTGCTGGAAAGTGTCTGAAGCTTGCAAATAAGATCAGATGGCCATGATGGAGCCAGCTTGCAGAGGGAAGGGAAGGACAAATGAGCATTTCCAACAAGAATGCTGGCATACATTTATGCTATGGCCCATGATATGTTGGGTTTTTCCTAACTGTACATTTGCCATTTTACAGGATGGGGAAGCTGAGGCTCAGAGAAGTAGCATGCCCAAGGCTAAGTTTCTGAGAAAAGGCAGAGCCAAGGTTGGAATCCAGGCCTGGTAGACTCCAAAGACCAAGTCTTTCCACCACACCACCCAGCTTTTAGAGGAGGCTGGAAGCCAAGATTTCTCAGACTGACTTTGCAGAGGCAATTCCCCAAACAGGTGACTAGAAGGAATCAATGACTAGATAACTCGGTCTCTCCCATGGAGTAACAGGTGGCCGGAGCCAATAGTTGCAGGAGGCAAGGTTCCCAGGAGGTCACACTGCCACCTTGTGGCCATATGAGGACACCTCATGGGTCTTGAGTTCTGCCACTTTCAACTTCATTAGGGTTTGTTTGTTTCTGAGACAGGGTCTCGCTCTGTTGCCCAGGCTGGAGTGCAGTGGCACAATCTTGGCTCACTGTAACCTCCGCCTCCCGGGTTCAAACAATTCTCCCACTTCAGCCTCCTGAGTAGCTGGGATTACAGGTGTGAGCCACCACGTCTGGCTAATTTTTTGGTATTTTTAGTAGAGACCGGGTTTCGCCATGTTGGCCAGGCTGGTCTCGAACTCCTGGTCTCAAGTGATACCCCACCTTGGCCTCCCAATGTGCTGGGATTACAGGTGTGAGCCACCATGCCCAGCCTTCAACTTCATTCATTTGGATGTACCAGGAAAAAAGTTTACTTTCCCATGCTCTAAGGGGAGCAAGAGAAGGCACTGGCCAATTTCCTTTGTATATAATTCAATCCAGCAAGCATTTACTGAGCTCCTACTATGGGCCATGCATTGCACTGAATGTCAAAACCAAATAGAGCAGTCCTGATCTGGAAAAGCCTAGGCTAGTGGGGGGCAGAAGAAGATATGAGGGGAGACACAGAAAATCCTTAAAATCCAGTGAGATTACATGCTGTAAGAGTGCTAAATTCAAAGGGTTCAGGAGGAACAAGGTTTCCAGAGCAGCCAAGCAGAAAGAACCTCGATCGCCCCCTACAGGCACACAGGAACTGGAGCCCAGAGGAGAAGAATCAAAGTTGTCAGATTTACTCAGAAGCAATGCCTGGTTGTAGAGTTACAATCAGGGAAGACTTGGCCCAGTCTGAAATTTGTCAATTTCTTCTTGCACAGCCTCACAGAGAGGTCTACCTTTCAGAGCCTGTGCCACATGCATTTAGGAGCGATGATACCTGCCTAGCCTCCCCCTCATAGAAACATTATGAGCATCTAATGAAATAATACCTCTAAAAGTGCTTTATTATCAGAAAGGCATTCATCACTGTCAACCAGTACCATTAATGCCACAGTACAGGGGGGTTCCTCCGTCACCACTGAGTTGAGCTTGGAGCATGTGGATGTAACCAGCACAAGTTATCACCAAGATTGTAGGCTGGGTTTCTGTCTTCAGCCCAGTGACGACCACCAGGACATCTGCCAACCAGAGCTGTGCTAAGTGAGGATGCACCAAGATCCAAATCTAAATGCATGCTCCTTAGCACCCCCTGAATTCCAAGCGCTCACTGCAACTTCCGCACTTTCTGCCCTGAACACGTTAGGAGTGCGTGGCACAAGGCAAAGGAGAGTTTGTGCAAGAAGGGCTAGGTTCACATCACACTTCCAGACTTGCACAAACTCTCTACCCATTAGAGGAGACGGATGTAGCACAGTGAACCTAGGCTTTGCAATCGCATGCATTTTGAATCCCAGTTCTGCACTTCCTAGCTTGTGTCATGCAAGCCCACCTATCTTTCTGGAAAGGGTTTCCTCATCTGTAAAATTAGATTCAACTTCGTGAAATAATATCCTTGAAGGTGCTTCAGAAACTCTATATAGGGTAGTTTCCACTTTGAAAAAATTTACCATTTTGCATATTTATGCCTTATCTGCCCAACCTAACTGAGTTTCTAATGGGCAAGATCTAATTTGATTTCTGTTTACTCCCTCCCCTCTTCCTTCCCTCACCTAGTGGTTAGGAACTTCTGAGCTAACACCCCCTCATTCTGTTGCTTCTTCTCCCTACTAAACTCTCTCCCCCAGTGACTGAGGGTGAGCTGTCCTTTCCATCCTGAAATAAATTGGAAAAGGTAGTATTTTAAATTTCTTAGAGAAACTTAGCAAGAATTTCCCATGAAGACTGGTCATTGCACATCCTGCATTTGTATTCCAGAACTTAAATTAAATTTAACAAAAAAAAAAAAAAAAAGGACTGGTCATTGACATCCATCCAGGCACATGTTTATCAGAAATCCCTGACTGGATAAGAAAATCAACCCAAGCAATGAAAGCCCTTCAGATGGGCGAGGCAGGCTGGCTGACGTCCTGGGGGCACAGCCCTGAAGTGCCAAAGTGGCTCTGTGGACAAGTGTGGAGCGCAGAAGGCCTGGAGAGAGGAAACCAAGAATGTGCTAATCTGGAGTACAGGGCTAAGTAAAGAACAGCAGGGGAGGTGGCCTGCACTCCAAGCCAAAGAAGAGACAGGGAAGGAAAGCAGGACTCCTAGGGCACTGCCAGAGGCCACCAGCAGAGCGAGGCGGCAGGTCCACCCAGAAGCCAAGGCCCCTGCTCCTTGGGCATGGGCATGGCCATGGGCAGTGAAGGCCAACAGGCCCTGAACCATGCTCTGAGGACTGGAGACTAGAAGAAGGAAGGGTCTTCCCACTAAAAAGCCATAGATCATTAGTCAAAGAATGCCTGGAGGAATTGTGAAATATTTTAAGCCCAAACTAAGCCCCGGTCCAACATTGTGACTCACCTCAGCCCCACAGTTTGTGCCTGAAATTCTCTTACACGTAGAAAAGGTTAATGATTGCGTGTGCTCAGCTGCAACGCCACAGGCAAGGCCCCCTGCCAACTGTGGCAGGGGCAGGGGCCCAAGCCACAGAGCGCATTGCCTGGGAAGGAAGCTCTAGGACAGCGGCAGTGAGGGAGCTGCGGGAGCTGCCTAAATACAGTCCCATGCCTCTCTGTCTCTTCCAGCACCTGAGGGGAAGAAGGACAGGACCCCTCCCCCTATTCAAGGTATGCATGGTTCCCCTCATCTCCTCCTGCAAGTCTGCCATTGTGGAGCCACGTGGAAAGACTCAGGAGTGGTCAGCATTAGAAGCCTGGCTGAGCCAGAGGACAGGAAAGCAGCCGGCACCCAGGGCCTGATGTGCCACTCGTCAGCAAGGTGGACATGAAGACAAGACTGGGAAGGAGCAGGCCCCAGGCCCTCAGGAGGACCCCCTTCACAAGCGCCACTGCTCACTAGCTATGTGAACTGGGAAAAGTTTCCAACCCCTTTGTGCCTTGGTTCCCTTACCCATTAATAGGACAGTAATAGTCCCCACCTCATGGGCTTGCTATACAAGATGAGTTAATAGATGTGCATGATGTAAATAACTAAGAATAACGCTTGGCACGTAATAAGTACTGCATCCGTGTTTGCTATTATTATTCTGCTCCCCACTCCCCATGTGTTGGAGTCCCACTGGGGGGGGCAACTGGGATTCCATTACACCCATTTCAATGAAGGTGTTATTAATAGCTCTGGGCACTGGACAGACGGGGGACCCCAGGACACGGGGAGGAAAGCAGGCTGTGGCATCCCAGCCCTGTACACTCCCTCACTACACCACCTAAGCTGGGCGCATGTAATGAGAGAAGGAAGACATCCCTCCCCAAGACAGACTCTGATTCAGCGCCAAGAGCGATGCAAAAGGCTGATTCTGGCACCAAGTGTGTTGTGGGTGTGTGGTGCGGTATGTGTTGGCAAATAAGACCTCCTCTTCACTCCCAGGAGGCAGCTGGGGGTCGGGGGAAAGCCACGTGTGTCACACACTAACCCACCGTGCCTCCAGGCCAGGGCCACCCACTCTGGTTCCCGGACCACCGGCGCCTCTGCTGCACCACATGGAGGATGGCTGGCCCGGGTGCTCTGAGGGGTGTAAAGGAAAGAGGACTCGGGAGGGCAGCTGCTGCAGGTGAGCCTCAGCAACCTCTTAGCAAGGTGCTGGAGCAGGCTGCAGGCCGAGGGGGGCTGGCAGTGCTCTGTGCTAAATGGCTGCTAAGTACTGTTGGCCCTTGAACAACCCAGGTTTGAACTGCGTGGATCCATTTATACAGGGATTTTCTTCCACTTCTGCCAGCCCTGCAGCAGCAAGACCAACCCTTCCTCTTCCTCCTCCTCTTCCTCAGCCTACTCAAAGTGATTTTCTTAACGATGCTTATTTTCTTTAGCTTATTTTATTCAAGAATAAAGATATAATACACGCAACAGACAAAATATGTGTTAATCAACTATGTAATCAGTAAGGCTTCGGGTCAACAGTAGGCTATTATTTAATAGTAGTTCTAGGGGAATCAAAAGTTTTCTTTTGTTTCTTTGTTTTTTTTTGTTTTTGTTTTTGTTTTTGAGACAGAGTCTCGCCCTGTTGCCCAGGCTGGAGTGCAGTGGCACGATCTCCGCTCACTGCAAGCTCCGCTTCCCGGGTTCACGCCATTCTCCTGCCTCAGCTTCCCGAGTAGCTGGGACCATAGGTGCCCACCACCACGCCTGGCTAATTTTTTCTATTTTTAGTAGGGACGGGGTTTCACCGTGTTAGCCAGGATGGTCTCGATCTCCTGACCTCGTGATCCGCCCGCCTCGGCCTCCCAAAGTGCTGGGATTACAGGCATGAGCCACCGTGCCTGGCCTTTTTTTTTTTTTGAAATAGAGTTTCACTCTCATTACCCAGGCTGGAGTGCAATGGTGCGATCTCGGCTCACCGCAACCTCCACCTCCCGGGTTCAAGTGATTCTCCTGCCTCTGCCTCCCGAGTAGCTGGGATTACAGGCGTGTGCCACCATGCCCGGCTAATTTTGTATTTTTAGTAGAGACAGGGTTTCTCCATGTTGGTCACGCTG
Organism: Homo sapiens; assembly: GCF_000001405.40. Classification (NCBI taxonomy): domain Eukaryota; kingdom Metazoa; phylum Chordata; class Mammalia; order Primates; family Hominidae; genus Homo; species Homo sapiens. The sequence continues at coordinate 206,721,868 of NC_000001.11, read as the reverse complement.
GTCTCAAACTCCTAATCTCAGGTGATCTGCCCAACTCAGATCAAAAGTTTTATGTGAATTGACTGCCCAACCTTTGCATTGTTCAAGGGTCCACTGTGCTTCAAATGGGTCATCTCACCCACTTCACCCCCACCCTGGGAGGAAACATCCTATTTTATAAATGAGAAAACTCACTGAGTCATTAGTTCACGACCTTTTGGCCAGTTGTCCCTGGCAGGGCTGGAGTTTGAACCCTGCTCTGGCTGCTCCTAAAGCCTCCTTTCCACCACCCCACAGTAAGGCAAAGAGTTCAAAATCTGCCCAAGACTGTCCACAACAGCAACAGCCAGAAATGGAGGCTGAAAATGCCTTAAAGTGCAAACCCTTTGATGTTAAAATTCTACTTTTAGAATTTCATCCTCAGGTATTAATCATAGACGTATCTTTAAGAAAATATACATCTCAAGAGTTATTTACCTTTACTAGAAATAGCTAACAAACTTATTAGTCTACTTTGCATTGCTATTAAGAAATACCTGAGACTGGGTAATCTGTAAAGAAAAGATATAACTGGCTTATAGTTCTGCAGCTGGTACAAGCTTGGCACTAGTATCTGCTTTTGGTGAGGCCTCAGGAAGCTTACAATCATGGTGGAAGGTGAAGGGGGAGCAGGGATGTCACATGGCAAGAGCAGGAGCAACAGGGGTGGGGTGCCACCCACTTTTAAACAACCAGATCTCCTAAGAACTCACTATCTTAAGAACAGCACCAAGCCATTCACGAGGGACCTACCCCCATGGCCCAAACACCTCCCACCAGGCCCCACCTCCCACACTGGGGATTACACTTCAACATGAGATTTGGGAGAAACAAACATCCAAACTATATCACAAACTTAAGGCCCAGAGATAAGTAACAGAGGTTGTTTTATGTAAAAGTGAGTTTAGCTACACAATCTACAGCCACTGAAATGGTGTTTCAGATGAATATTAAATGGGGAAATGTGGATTCCTGAGTGTCTACTAGATTCTCAGGTATCATCACTGTCATTGTCTAGAATACTATCCTATTTTTTCTTCTGCATCCCAAATCCCAATGTGTACTTTCTTTAAATTTCATTATCAAAACATGTCTGATGGTAACTGAAAGTTACAAACCCTTATGTACAGCATAAACTCAGTGCTCTATGGATATTTATTGGATCTGTATATAAAAAAAATAAAGGCATAGGGGCTGGCCATAGTGGCTCACATCTATAACCCCAGCACTTTGGGAGGCCAAGGGGGGCAGATTACTTGAAGTCAGAAGTTCATGACCAGCCTGGCCAACATGCTGAAAGCCTGTCTCTATCAAAAAATACAAAAAAATTAGCCAGGCATGGTGGCACGCACCTGTAAGCAATCCCAGCTACTTGGGAGGCTGAGGTGGGAAAATCACTTGAACCCAGGAAGCGGAGGTTGTAGTGAGCCTGCACTCCAGCCTGGGCAACAGAGTGAGACTCTGTCTCAAAAACAAAACAAAACAAAACAAAACAAAAACAATAAAGGCATTAAGACTCAATGAGTTGTTAATGGTAATGATCTCTGAAAGACAGAATCACAGATTTAATTTCCTTTATTATGTCTGTATTTTCTAGGTGATTTACAATTAGTATATGTTACTTTTTAAAGAGACAAGCTTAGCTCTCTAAATTTTAGTCAGAGGGCAGCCATCCACGTCTCAGGCCCTATGGCCATGGAGCATATCTCTGGGGCTTCCGGAAACTCTGCCAGGTGGAAGATCTGGAGCCAGAGAGGGACACAGGAGGAGACACATGAGCACTTGATCCCATCCTAACAGAATGGATCACTCAGTGAAACCCCGGAGTGCCTAGCATGTGCCACACACTGGTTTAGAGGATGCCAAGGGTATAATAGAGAACATGACAAATAAGCCCCGTGACCGCCACAGAACTTAACATTTTAGTGCAGGAGGTACACCAAAAACAAGCTCAAAGAAAATAGTTTTAATTATACACTGTGATTTGTGCTGCAAAGGAAAGAAATAAGATGCTGCCACAAAAGCAGCAATGGTTTAAGGGAGAATCCTTCTCATCTCTCAAAATTACAGACAGCTGCTTATAGGCTGGAGCAAGATGTCACACTTCTCAATTAGCCCAGCTTGGAAGCATAAGAGGTGGCAGATAGAGCAATCTTGGCTGAACTACTGACGTTCCTCTACATTGATTGGGGAAGAGAGTATGTCCTCCTTTCAGAGCCTCTGCAAAGCTCAATGAGGAGTGACGATGGTTCTCCCCTAGAACCATGATCTAAACATAAATCTAACAACAGGTTTTAAAAGCCTTAGAAGGTTGATGAGATAAAGATATCACACAGACCCTTCACGTGGGTGCACACATTCCCAAACATTTGGTTGGGAGGCAAAAGCAAGTCTCTATTTGTTATTAATGTTCATTAATATGATGGGGAAAAGTCCCTACCCAAAACAAAGCTAAAACTTACAACGGGGAATCCCAGTACCAAAAGCCTTAAAACAACCACGCGTCACTGCCCAGAAGATGGGGCCTGGCTCGACTGCGGGCCACTGTGCCTGTCGGCCCCCTCTCCAGAGCTGTCACAGGCAGTCACAAAAGCCTAGGGCTCAACAAAAAGTCAAGAGGCCTAAAAATCGCACTGTAGATGACAAATCTTTAAAATATTTCCAACACATGATGGATAAAAGGCTAACTTAACTCAGGCAAATCAATTGTTGAAGATCAACAACCTAATATAAAAATGGCCAAACGATAAGAACAGGCAGTTCAAAGCAAGAGAAACACAGATGGCTGAATGGAAGACACTCAGTGTAGCTCAAAGAGAAATGTTTATAAAAAAGATGATAATTTCACCAGACTGGCAAAAAAAAAATTTTAATGTTTGACCAAAATAAAACTCCCAGGTTTATGCAAAGATCTGGGGAGAAAAGGCACTCTCTTACACATTCAGTTGGTAGAGAAATAAACTAGTATTTTTGGGGAGGTATTTGGCCATGTCTATCAAAATTGTAAATGTTCAAACCTTGGACCCAGTAATTACCCAGCAAGAAACCATCCTACACATTATATTCATAAAGCATTTTAATGGCAAAAAAACTGGTAATAACCTAAATGCCTACCAATAAGAGGGTGGTCAGATAAATGAAATGACAGCAAATCCATACAATGGAAAACGTGCGGTGTCGTAGAAGAAAGAGGCAGCTCCCCATCCACGGCGACGGGGAGAGCAGGATGCTATTAAATGGGAAAGCAGATAAGGACCAAGATGATATAATACTTTGGCTTTATCTTTAACATCCTATTTTTTTTTTTTTTTTTTTTTTGAGATGGAGTCTTGCTCTGTCGCCCAGGCTGGAGCTGCAGTGGCATGATCTTGGCTCACTGCAAGCTCTGCCTCCCGGGTTCACGTCATTCTCCTGCCTCAGCCTCCCAAGTAGCTGGGACTACAGGCGCCCACCACCATGCCTGGCTAATTTTTTGTATTTTTTAGTAGAGACAGGGTTTCACCATGTTATTCAGGATGGGCTCGATCTCCTGACCTCGTGATCTGCCCGCCTCGGCCTCCCAAAGTGCTGGGATTACAGGCGTAAGCCACAGCGCCCGGGCAACATCCTAATTTTTTAAACAGAACTGCTTCCACCTTACTTAAGTAGCTTTTAAAGTATATTCATAAAGACAAGAAGCAAACACACCTAAAAGTTAATTAGTGGTTAATTATAAGTGGTAGTAATATGGATGACATTTTCTTCTTTTGCATATTTTTTAAATTTTCAAAAACAAAAAAGTACTGAACAGAATATATAGCATAATCCCATTTCTATAGTTTTGTTGTTATTGTTTTGTTTTTTAGGGAAGAGGGGAGAGGATATATGAAATTGTAGATGTTTAAGTTTTTTTCTGGAGGAATTTACCTCCCCTGCAAAAAAAAGGTAGCAGTGTTGACTACTGGGGAATAGGTACTAGAGAGAGGCGTGTATTTTTTTTTCTTTCTGTTTTATATCTCTATGTATTGTTTGAACCTTTACCATCTGAATGAAATTTTTTAAAAAAAATTAAGTAAAAGGGTTTGGGTTCTGAGGTGCAGTATGATTCAGGTCTTATATTTGAACCCCTGGCCTGAGACAGTGACAGAGATGTGCCCCAAATGTAGGCCAACCTTCCTGCTAGAGGCAGGAGAGCACAGATGAGAAATTTCACACTGGCCACAGGAGGAAGAGAGGCCTTGCATAACTCTAGGTCAGAGGCCACACTTGACCAGGCCTGGCATCTTCCCAGAGGATGTAACCCTAAGAATTGATAAGGAGCGAGCAGAGGCCCCAAAGCCCCAAACCACTGCTGCAAGCCACTTCTGACTTATATGGACATGAACACTGCACACAGCAGTGATGTCAACCACACAGGAGTCTTGGGTAGGAAACTGAAAGATGGGGACAGAGATATTTCTTCTGTTTCTTCCAGCAAATGGCACTGAAAGAGAAAGAGGAATTTTCATTTCAACCGCATCAATTATGTACCAGGTGCACTTTATATATAGCAAATATTGCTATATTTAAGCTTCCTAGCAGCCCTACAGAACAGGATCCATTGCTGACTCCATCGTACAGGTGCGGCAACCAAGGCCCAAGGAAGTATTAATAATTTGCCCAAGGCCACATGGCTAGTAGGTAATAAAGCCAGGACTCAGACCCAATTCAGATCTAACCTTTTATTCACAGCAAAGGAGGCTTTGACAAATAAACCCTGAGCTGGTAATATTAGTTTACCGCTGGCCTCTCTCGTCCCCTCCTAAGTGACTCGTCTTTGCTCTGTTCACAGGCCTGCCCTATTCGCATCAGGCCTGGGGCCAGAGCCCAGTAGAGAAGAGTCACAATAAACACTTACCAATTAAATGGGCAGACTGTACACCAGAACAAGATACAAGGCATCTTTCCCTAGGAGACCAGGCAGACAGTGGTAGGAAGGAAACACCCTAAATGTTCCAAGTTGGCTTTAAGCTAAAATCCAAGTGGCAAGAAGAGAAAGATCATGTTCTTAGTAGTATCTAGGTATCTAGTATCTACTTTAAAAAATCCACAGAGATGGACAAACTAGCAAGAGAAAGTAAGACGGAAGGAGGTCAGGAACACTGCGCCTCTGGCCTAAGCAGCCCCCATGCATACGACCCTGTGCGGCTGCCAAAGCAAATCTAAAATTTTACTTTGAAGCGACAAAAGCAATCTCACCTTCATCACCCCAGCTGAGCAGAATGAGACTCACAGCAACGTATACCTGAGTCCACAGATCTCACAGGGGGTGGAGGAGAGTTGACAGAGAATGTGGAGGAAGAGAAGGATCCTACAAATCAAGAGGGCGGCCCACACACACACATCCCCCACCCAGTACACAATTCCACACGCCTAAGACTGGAGACAACTGGGTGAGGAGAGAAGGAAAAAGAACCGGAAGATAGATGATTGTTATGGTGACACACAGCAGACTACATGGCCAGGGAGAAGACAGGAACCACTCTTTCCTACACAGTGAGAGAAATGGCCCAGACACAAGAGTGAGTTCAAGCCACCAACACAAACACAAGGTCACTGTGAGAGAGAAGTCGAGGTCATGCCTTCTGCTACGAGCAGGGCACCTGATAAATAAATTCTCACTCTACATTACCTCTCACACAGCTGAAGATACAAGGAAGGGAACTATTACCCTGAACTTACTTCTGGCCAGGAAGAAAAACCTAGTAAATTATGTTTAAAAAAAAAAAAAATACTTCAGCTAGCAAAAACAATAATAACAAGAACACCACATTGGGAGGAAGTAAGCTTGTCAATTCAGAGTTCAAAGGAGGGAAATTAAAAAAAAAAAAACTGAGACAAAAACAGTTGTTTAGCCTAGACTTCAAAAAAACCAATATTCAGGTCAGGCGCAGTGGATCACACTGAAATCCCAGCACTTTGGGAGGCTGAGGCAGGAGGATGGCTTGATGACTAAGAGGATACAAAAAGGAGAAGGAGGAGTTCAAGACCAGCCTGGGCAACACAGGGAGACCCCGTCTCTATGAATAATTTAAAAAATTAGCAGGGCATGGTGGCACTAGCCTGTGGCCCCAGCTACTCAGGAGGCTGAGGCAGGAAGATCACTGAGCCCAGGAGGTCAAGGCTGCAGTGAGCCAATGATCGTACCACTGCACTTCAGCCTGGGCAACAGAGTGAGACCCTATCTCAAAAAAAAAAAAAAAGAAAGAAAGAAAAAGAAAAAAAAAACCAATATTTAGATGTTGAGACCAAGGAGTATGATGGGCAGAGATCCCAAAAGGGAATGCATTTTGAAAGACAAGGTCCAAGTCTCTAAAAAGTGAATTCTGATCATCTAAAACACAATAATCGCTTAAAGAAGAAACCAGGAGGAGGCAGCCACAAATGTCAGGGAGAAGTGAAGAGCTGAGACAGTAAAGGATGTGTGCAAAGACACGAGCAACTGCCCATGAGCCAGGACAGGCCCGAAGGGAGTAGTCTGCGCTCACTAAACACAACAAGCAGAGCTTGTGAAAATGCTAGGAGCATGTCTTCAAGCTACATCCAAAGCCATAAGAAGAACCAGGGAGGAAGTGGCCCTGGGATGGGGACAGAGACTCTAACACACAAAATGACAGAGAATGGAGAATTTTCATCTCCAGTATTTCCCATCTTTTCTATGAAGGAGAATGCTCCACAGACTAGAACAAGCTAAACATTTACACACATGCTCTCTCTCAAGAGAAGCCTCAATTCTAAGCTAGACCATAAACCAACTTACAATCACCCAGAATTACATCCCAGGATGCAGAAGGAAAGTACAGGTTGATTCCAGAACCACTGCTGGCAGTGGTTCAGGAGCTGAGGGGAGAGGAGGTGGCAAAGATCTGCTTTCTGGCAGCACACATTCTCTCGAAACCTGGTACCCACAATGCTCCAGGCACTAGACCAAGCTCACAGGGCTTCAAGGTTCACAGTCTAGCCAAGAGGGAAAAAGAAGCAATATGTAAACAAAACTGTTAATAAACTATGATGACTAAGAGGATATAAAAAACTGGGGGGTTGGGACTTCTTTTTTTTTTTTTTTTTGTGACCGAGTTTCACTCTGCTACCCAGGCTGGAGTGCAATGGTGTGATCTCAGCTCACTGCAACCTCCACCTCCCAGATTCAAGCAATTCTCCCACCTCAGCCTCCCGAGTGGCTGGGATTATAGGCTCCCACCACCACACCCAACTAATTTTTTTTTTTTTAAGTAGAGACAGGGTTTCACCATGCTGGCCAGGCTTAGTTTCGAACTCCTGACCTCAGGTGATCCGCCTGCCTCAGCCTCTCAAAATGCTGGGATTACCAGCATGAGCCACTGCGTCCAGCCGGCACTTTTGTTTGTTTAAAGGGAAGGGGACAAATAGGATAAACTCCTCAACATCTGCCTCTGGAAAAGCTCTAGAACAAATCATAATCTGAACCATCACAAGCTACCCTGGGTCGCTTAAGAGGCCACAGCAAGCTAGTCTCGTTTCCTTTTTAGCAGAGTTTACTGAATTATAGACCAAAGGAATGCCAGACGCAAGGGGTCTGGACCTCTATGAAGTATATGAACACAGTCTCCTGCCCAGACCTTAGGGATGACAAAGGAGGAGGCAGTGAGATGACAAAGCATTTAGATAATATTTGCAGTTGTTATAAATGGCCAGTAATAAAGTGCTGTTTGGTGGATCTAGGACAGGCTGCTGAACAGGCACCAAACTGAACTCACGGCCCCTTTGAATTTGCTCCCGGATCTCAGTAAACGGCAATGACATCACTATCTAGCCAGGCTCCCAGATATAAATCTTGAGTACTCATCCTCAGACTCTCTCCCTCCGTCACCCACAGAAGCAATCCAATTTTGTCTCTGGGAAGATCTCCCAAATCCATCTTTCCTTTTCCAGTCCTGCTATCGCTTACTGGGTTGCAGCCCCTTTTCTCTTGTGTGCTTTCTCTTTTTGAGACAGGGTCTCATTCTGTCCCCCAGGCTGGAGTGCAGTGGCATGATTTCAGCTCACTGCAAACTCCGCCTCTTGGGTTCAAGCAATTCTCCCACCTCAAGCACCTGACTAGCTGGGACTACAGACATACACCACCACGCCTGGCTAACTTTTTATTTTTTGGTAGAAACGGGGTTTCACATGTTGGCCAGGCTGGTCTCAATCTCCTGACCTCAAGTGATCTGTCCACCTCGGCCTCCGAAAGTACTAGGATTACAGGCATGAGCCACCATGCCTGGCCTACTCTTCTGTGTTTTCTAACTGGTTTCTAGAAGGGAGACGTACTCCATCCCAGTACATCTTGGGTCACATGCTGAAAGGCAAAGCTGAGCAGGACATTTTCCTCCTTAAACATCTCCACTGGCTGACATGATAAAATCCAAATTCCCTAACTTAGTCTTCCCTAGCTCCTATCCACATCATCGCTACCCTAACCTCCCAACACATCCCCTATATTGAAGCTACAATGCACTTCCTGACCTCAGGCAAGCCAGGCCTTGTCATGACTTCACGTCTGTAAGAACCATGGCAATGTCACCTCCTCTGTGAAGCCTCTCTGACCACTTCCAGGCAGAGTCAGCCCCTCTGCCTCTCTGTGCCCACAGACTCTTGCTAAACTCCTACTTCAGCACTCACCAGTGGGATTTATAAAACGGTTTCTCTTTTCACTGTGGACCATGTACCTCTTGGAAGCTGGGACAATGTCTTGTTCATCTTTTGATTTCAAATCCTAGACCCGGTACATGGCATTTAGGAGGTGTTCAATAAGTATCTACTTGTTGACTAAACCCAAAGAACAACTTCAGTGGCAAACCTATTAGTGTGTGTGTGTGTGTGTGTGTGTGTGTGTGTGTGTGTGTGTGATGGAGTCTCATTCTGTCGCCCAGGCTGGAATGCAGTGGCACGATCTCAGCTCACTGAAATCTCCACCTCCCGGGTCCAAGAGATTCTCGTGCCTCAGCCTCCTGAGTAGCTGGGACTACAGGCGCCCACCACCACACTCAGCAAATTTTTATATTTTTAGTACAGATGGGGTTTCACCACATTGGCCAGGCTGGTCTCAAACTCCTGACCTCAAGTCATTCACCCACCTCGGCCTCCCAAAATACTGGGATTACAGCAGGCATGAGCCACCACACCAGACTGGCTTTGCCTAGTATTAATATTTTACCAACAAGCTGACTAAAGACATAGTAGGCAGTAAGCTTATCAAACTTCCAAGTGACACCCCCTAAGAAAACAATGGGAGAGGCAGTCTGTGCTAGGTAGTAGATTTTTAAAAGATTACAGTAGGAGAAAATATACGCCAAAACTAACAACAACAACAACAAAAAAACCCATCTTCAACAGCACAGGATGAAAGAGACTTTTCTCTAGTCACATCTTTATAACATGAATGAGAGCCAAGGTTCTGAAGCCAGGCTGCATGGGGGCAGTCCCAGCTCCTCCATTAAACTGCTGTGGGCCCTGAGCACCTTTCCTAACCTTCTTATACCTCCGGTTTCCTTCACTGTAATACAGGGATAACAACATTATCTAACTCGCAGGTTGTTATTTAGTGAATAATAACAATATAATTGCACTTAGAATTGTACCTGACTCAGTAAGATCTTTTTTTTATTATTTGTTGTCGTTGTTAAAAGCTGCTTCTAAGAACAAGGAAGAGAAGGTGTAAAGCATTGTGATTGCAAGGGCTCTGAAATTACACTGCCCCAAGTTCAAACACCAGCTCTAAAGCTTAGTAGCTGCCTGACCTTAGCCAGTTACTTCACATTCTAAATCTCCATTGAACTCATCGATTAAATGGAGTTTATGATAGTATCCATCAAAAATATTCACTTTAGCATTATTTCAAATTAGGGGACAGAAGGAAATAAACTAAACAGCTGTTAATAGACAACGGGGCCAGGCACAGTGACGCACACCTGTAATCCCAGCACTTTGAGAGGCCGAGGCAGATGGATCACTTGAGCCCAGGAGTTTGAGACCAACCTGGGCAACATGGCAAAACCCTGTCTCTACGAATAAAATACAGAAAAAACTAGCTGGGTGTGGTGGCACAGGCCAGTAGTCCTAGCTACTTGGGAAGCTGAGACATGAGGATCACTTGAGCCTGGGAGGCAGGGGTTTCACTGAGCAGAGATCACACCACTGAACTCCAGCATGGGGGACAGAGTGAGACCTGTCTCAAAAACATAAAAAAAAAAAAAAAAAAAAAGAATGAGGTAGATTAAGACATACTGAAATCAAAAGTTCTTCAAAAATACATTCTTCTGGCTGGGCACAGTGGCTCACACCTGTAATCCCAGCACTCTGGGAGGCCGAGGTGGGTGGGTCACTTGAGGTCAGGAGTTCGAGACCAGCCTAGCCAACATGGCGAAACCCCATCTCTATTAAAAACACAAAAATTAGCTGGGTGTGGTGGTACGCACCTGTGGTACCAGCTACTTGGGAGGCTGAGGCATGAGAATCACTTGAACTCCGAGAGGTGGAGGTTGCAGTGGGCTGAGATAGCGCCACTGCGCTCCAGCCTGGGCGACAGAGAGATGGTGTCTCAAAAACAAACAAACAAACAAACAAAAAAAACTTCCATGAAAAAAGCAAGTTGTAATTTGATACATATAGTCTGATCCCATTTTGTAAAATGTTTTAAAAAGAGAAAAAGCATGGTGTGTGCATGTGTGCATGTGTATTCACCCACACTTTTTGTAAATACAGGCAGCTCTTGCTTTGCACAGTAATGCGGAACCATAAAAATGACCATGCAAAGCAACCCTAATCACCAATGAGGAAAATTATGATTTTTCCACGACATTTAAAAATTTCGGTCAAAACATTAAAAACTCTCTTGCTGTCAAATTATAAATAAGGAAATGAGAAAACAGTAAAACTATTTATTGTGTATACTCTAAAACATTAGAGTCACTGAGAATGAGTGTTTTATTGCTTTGTAAAAACCTTATCCAGAGTAATTTGAACAGCACTTGCCTTCTTGTTGTTTAACATCCAATATGGAATGAGTATCTTTCATATGCCTTTGCAAATTGTCATACTCCTTTCTAAGTTTGGATCTGCTTCTAACGTTTTATCCTTTGCACTTTCGATGTTGTGAAATATCTTCAAGGTGCCTTTAATGTGAAGTTTCCTTCTGCAGTGTCACCTCCTCTGGGACCTCTTCATCCTTTTCATCAAACCACTTTCCTCATTTATGCTGACATGCCACCTTCACTGAGTTTCCCAGGCTGTATATGTAGTCTTGAACAGTGACAGTGTTGACATTCCCACAGTCAGCTATCTAGTCTATATAATTCCATTACGTTTGGCTTGAAATTCACTACCAGCATTACCACATTTCATTTGAAATTTCATCTTTCTTGGCCAATTCCCTCATCAATTGTCCATTTTTGTAAAATGTCACGAGTTTCTCACTAGGAGACAGGGAGGCAACACAACTACACACTTTCCTGTCTGCGTGTGAAGTGAACAGATAGGCAGTGACCAATCACCAAAAGACTCTTCAAGAAGAAACATGATTAGTCAGTGACCATGAAGAGCATCTGTTATGTACATAGTGATCTGTGGACTGAAGAGCTAACAGCAAAGTTTGTACTGCATGCAGTTACTTGTAATACATATATCCTGGCAACTCAAATTTGAGCCAAATTCTTCGAGGACTGATGTTATTTAACCAAACCATAGTAACTGAAATTCACACAGATTAGAACCATGAAAAATGAGGACTGTCCATAGAAAGAGCATAATCTGTAAGTATATATGCTAAAGAGCTGGCAGTGATTACCTTTCAGGAAGAGCTATATTGTTTAAATTTTTTCTCGGTGACTAAGCTCTACACCTTGGGAATAGTTCTCAACCTGGTGTTAATTTGCCCCCCAGGGGACGTTTGGCAATGTCTGAAGGCATTTTCTGTTGTCATAACTTGGGGGCATGGGTAGATAGATGGTTGCAACTGGCATCAAGTGGGTAGAGGCCAGGGATGCTGCTAACTCCTACAAAGCACAGGACAATCCCCCACAACAAACAAAGGCTTATCTGGTCCAAAAGGTCAACAGTGCCAAAGCTAAGTACCCTAGTTTTAAATCAAGGAGTTTTTATTAAGCTAATTTGAATAGTACCTTTCTCACCAAGTGGTAGGCAAAAACTAAATGACACAATGGCAAGTAGAAAGTTCATAATAAATGCCATTAGTATCAGAGGCTCGGACTGACTTCAAGCTGAATGGATATCTTAATATGACCTTAGATTTGTGGTATTTTTACAAACATTAACTCATCTGATCTGATGCCATGACGTGGCTGCCAAAAAGTTAATATTTCCTTCAGCTCACAGATCAAGTACCTAGCTCAAGACAGGGATCCAAATGCACCCACACTCTATATTTCTCCCATACCTAGAATCCACATGTAGATCACATCGAGCAGCGAGAACTCAGTTCTGGGCAACACATCTGTAAAAGAGTATTATACTTCCAGAGGAGGACAACCAGGATATAAAAGATCTGAGGAGCATAACATAAGAGCAACAGTTCAATAAACTAGGGTGAATTGCCGGAAGAAGAGAAACCCTGAAGGAGCAACTGAGGGACTGGATGTGATAACAGTCCTAAAATAATTGGGTGCACAGTACAATGAGAGGGCAGGGCAGAGAGTCAGATAGGAACAATAAGTAACAGCCTCCTGTAACTCTGCAATCACACTCCTCGTTGTTTACCCAGGAGAAATGAAAACATTACATCCACAACAAGATTTGTGCAAGAATGTTAACAGGAGCTTTATTCATCATAGCCCAAAACTGGACACAGCCCAAATGTCCATCAACAGGGGAATGGAGAAGCAAATTTTATCATATCTATACAATGGAATACTGCTCAGCATAACAAACTACTGATACATGTCACCATGCAGATGAAATTCACACAAAAGGGAGAGTTCATACTGATTATCCCATTTATATGAGGTTCCAGAAAAAGCAAAACTAATCTACAGTGAGAAAACATCAGAACTGTGATCACTTGCGAGGGGGTATGTGTTGGGATGATTGGGAAACAACACGAGGGAATTAATTAGGTAATAAAACTTTTTGTTCTATAGTTGACAGAGGTTTGGGTTGCACAGATAGAGGCATTTATCAAAGCTTATCAGGTGATACCTTAAGAGTTGTGCATTTTTCACTGTTAATATAAATATTATCATCAAAAAAATGCATGAACAAATATTGAACTCAAATTAATGCCTATGTATGCTGAGATGTTTAGGGGTAAAGTACATTGATGTCTGCAATTTACTACAAAATGCATCCCCAAAATAAGATGGACTGGTCAATGGATAGAGAGATTGAAACACGTAGAGACATGATAAAGTAAACATAGTAAAAGGCTAATGGTTGAATCTAGGTGGTTTGGTATAATCATGTTCACTGTACAATTCTTTCCAGTTTGCTGCACATCTGAAATGTTTCATAATAAAAAGTTGTGAGGAGGAATAGGAAGTAACAACAGGTGGGGAACACCACAGGGGAAACAAGAGGTGGCTGGGAGGTCACAGGAGGAAAGCGCAAGGGGAAGAAGAGGGCTGGTTTCAGCCAACACAGGGGCCTGCGGAGGGCAGAATTGCAAAAGGCCAGGGTGACCTGGGAACAGACAAACTTAGCCAACAGGGAATCTTAGCATATGTGAGGCTGCTACCCAGACCTTTACTGTTGTTAGTTCTTGTTCTGACTGTGTGATCAGAGCAAGTAAGTCCCTGCCCCTCTCTGGCTGTGGTTGAAGGGATCAATGTACAATGTAGGGATCTGTTTAAAGGATCCCTACTTAACGCTTTCCAGCTCTGTCAGTCTATTCTTCACAGCATTTGTGGAAACCATTTTTTTTAGACAGGAATCAAAGAATGTAGAGACACAATTACAGCTTCAGCAAAATCCAGCTGGTTTCACATAGGCAAAATGCAAGAAGTCTCCTGTTACATCACTGTATTCTCAAAGAAAGGACCTGGGTGCAAGTAGCTCTCAACTGTCTCCATGTGGACTGTCCACTTTGTAGTTTAGCCACAGCAAATGCTAAATCAGTGAGCAGGAGCCCCATGCCCTACCCCCAAACCCCCACACACACCCAGCAGGTCTCTGGGGCACAGAATCTGAGTGGAGCCAACATGTTCCCCACCTTAGGCATCTTGGCGGAAACTAAGGTGCAGAGAGTTGCAGGCATTTTACCAAGGTTACACAGTCCATTAACACAGTGAGGGCTACAACCCAGGGCCCAGGGCAGACCATGTGGATTCCCCAGAAAAGTGCTGGGATCCAGAGAATCCTCCCCAATTTCAGTGCCTACAACCAGCCCCTTTTTTCTCTACCTTTGCTGCTCTGGTTTCCAAGGAAACCAGAGTCTGGTGCTTCTGGCTTCACATCTTAAAGAAGAGGGAGAGATGTATGTTTCTCAAACCAAAGTCTATTACCTCACAAACCAAAAACAACCTCTGGCAGAACTTCCTTCCCACCATTCTCCATGGGGGAGAGATGGAGTTGGGAACAGACTACTTAGTGGGGGCCTGGAGGAAGTCTCTGGAGTGCCTGGGGGTGGGGGAAGTCCTGCTCCCACCCTGGAATGACTGTGGTCATCACCTAGGGGAAATCTGGGATCCTCATCATGCAGGACAACAGGATACCCCGTCTAGGTCCAGATGTGCCACAGCTGCAAGCAGGGCCCTGACAGGAAGTGGAGGCCCAACAAGAAGAAGACCTGTGGGAGAGAGAAGAGCGCGGCTGCAGTGCCGTTCCCTCCTCCAACTACATGCCTACTAAGCTCCAGCTGGAGCCGCAAGGCTGCCAAGCTGTTCGGGGCTGACGGATGGAATGACAGGTGAGGGGAGAGAATGAATGAGGGGTAGGGAAGGGGCTCAGACACTGCCCTGCCTTCTAGCCCCAAGGGGTAGGGAAGGGGCTCAGACACTGCCCTGCCTTCTAGCCCCGAGGGGCTGCAGGTAAATGCTCAGCACTCAAGCCAGGACCTAGAAAGAGCACATCTGAAGCCACTTCTGAACAAGTAAAGCCCCACCCACGGGCAAGAAAAAATTTCCATCATGACCGATTTGTCTAGAAGTGGCCTGAACGTCTTCCCAGCAGCGGTGATGCATACCCAGCTGAGGGGAAGGAGGGAGTCATCTGCACACTTCTGCTCCCCAGGCCTTCTCCATCCTTACCCCATACCCGCCTCGGTGAGCTCAGAGGTTCTTGGCAAGGGCTTGCTCCCTGGGGACCACAGCAAGCCCACGGGGGTCAGAGCTGCTGGTCCCCTCCAGAGAGCCTGGAGCCTGGGAGTCTGCAAGTACAAGCCCAGTTGGCAGCTGCAGCTAATACTCCCGATTCCCAAACCAAAGCCCGGCCCACCCAGACGTCCTGCAGGGTGGTCGGGATAACTGCAGAGCAGCATCTGCCCTTTCTCCACTAACAAAGAGGCAATGATCAGAGGGACTGGCTTTGCTCCTCCCCCATCTGAGTGACTCTGGGTCTCTGTGGCTGTGGCCAGGGAAAGGCAGGGAGAGGGCAAGAAGGAATGGGAGATGAAGGACACCTCCCCTAGCTCCTTCTGGGAACAGACTAACTCCTGTCCCTGTGGGAAGACCAGGAGGGGAAAAGCAGCCTTTTAAGATTAAGCAAATAAATAAATAAATAAATAAATAAATAAATAAATAAATAAATAAGAGATAGGAAATCCTGACCCCGCCTTAATTACACTGGAAGTGTATAATCCTCAGGAAGAGTAGCTGATTCCCACCCCACACTCCCATTTACTCCCAGTTGCCAGTTTCCTGAGAAATAACCACTGCCTCACAGCGAAGCTGCACCAGAAGGGTGTTGAGGCCTGCAACAGGCTCCGGGAATTCCCTAAGCCTGGGTTTGTTCCAAGCGAAAAATCCAGTAAAGCCTCCCAGTCATTTCTCAGGAGTCGGCCATCTGCAGGACCCATCATTCATATCCACCTCCGACCAACGTTCCAAGCACAAGTCCAGCCAGGACTCTCGAATTTTCAAACTCCACAAACTTCCATAAATCCAGTTCACAATTCTGAATTCCTCCTTGAATTTAACCCAAAATGCCTTTGTCTCAGCTCCCTGGGTAACGGAGAGCTAATCGCCTTTCTGCCCTGGTCCACCCTCCAGATGCCCTTGGGTTGGTGGAGAAAGGAGAAAGCATCCAGCCCACCTGCTTCTTCCTGGCTGTCCCTCAAGAGTCAACACAATTGCACCCATCGGAAAGGAGAAGGCAGAGAGATAAGGGAGCTAAATCTTGTTCCCCTCTGCTTCCAGGATTAGCAAGCAGCTGCCTCAGAATCACCAGCCTCTCCCTTGTCCAATACCCAGGCACTCTCGGCAGCCTGGCCCTCCAGCAGGAGTGTCTACTCATGCAACCCCATGCTGCACATTGCTGCTTCCCAGGCATGACAGATGCAGCTGCTATTCAGTGTTTTCATGCCAGGACAAAAGCTTCTCCAGAAGCACAAAGCCAACAGGGAGGCAGACAGAGCTGATTTCAATAGAAGCCACCTGCCGGGGCCCCTCCTCTGCCACACCCCTCCCCCCAACCCACCGTACATACACATGCAAACATACATACACCTTTTTCAAACCTCTCCAACTTGTGCTGACCCAGAGTCAGGTGACTTTTGC
Organism: Homo sapiens; assembly: GCF_000001405.40. Taxonomy (NCBI): domain Eukaryota; kingdom Metazoa; phylum Chordata; class Mammalia; order Primates; family Hominidae; genus Homo; species Homo sapiens. The sequence continues at coordinate 206,705,147 of NC_000001.11, read as the reverse complement.
TCTGAATCACTGAACAGTTCTCCCAGAGAAGGGGGGCTGTTGCCATTTCTCAAATAGTATTCCGTAGGATGTTAATAAGTGCTAAGTAAAAAGGGGTCATATAGATGGCAGAAGCACCAGGTTAAACAAAGTTAAACAGATTCTTTCACTGTAGAACTTCTCAGAGCTTTTAATTCAGTAATGTGCATTGCAGACTGTTCCCCAGTTTAGATGATCACAGAGTGTCTCGGGACTGGCGCTGCACTTGGAGAAACGGGCGGCTCCTTCTTCCAAGTTCACCCAGTTCCCTGAACATAGCTCTCCTACCACTTGGAGTACACAAGAAATACCTTGCTTACATGTTTCTCCCTCAATAAGCCTGCAGTGAACAGATGAATGGACAGATTAAGAAGTGCACACACACACTTGTGGTGCACTCATCTTCACTTATTCAGTTCAAATGATGATGAAGCTTCTGGAAGGACCATTAGACTTCATAAAAGGGACTGAACCCATGCACACCCTCAAGTCAACCTTGACTGCAGATCATGTGTGCTTATGTCACCACGGACAGATATCAGCCCCTAGATGAGCCGGCTGGTTTTATTCCCTCATCAAGTCCTCCCCGACCCTGGACCTCAGGCACTGTTTTGTATCCGGCTATAAAGGAAGTTGGGTGACTGCTTTCAATGTACTGTACACATCAGCAGTCAGTGAGAAGTCACCACCATAACCATCACACATGGTCTGGGTGAGCTGAGCCACCACCACCACTAATTCCAGCAACCTGAAAGGAAAAGCAGGATGCCTGCCAAGCGTGCCCAGCAAGGGGACCCTGGGAGACCCCATCCGACCTCCTCCATCCGTGGGCCAGGTAACAAATGGACAGGTAACAACGAGTGAGAGACACTCAGACAGGCGTAAATCTTCAACATTTCCCAGAAAGTCTAGTGCGTTCATATTCAAATGACATATCTCAGATTTTCTTTTGGATCTGAAAGTAGGACCCCTCCCCAACTCCAGGAAAAACTATCAGATAGACCCTCACTTTGGATTGGAAAAATATAGCCTGTGTACCCTGGGGTATACCCATCAGCCTCTGTGATTTCCTGGGATAGGCTTTTTGCTTCATTCATAATGAAGCAGACCCTGAAAGGGTGTCTCCCACTGACTTCCGCAGGCAGCTGAACCCAGAAGCAGATGCTCACCTCCCCCAGGATGGGGTGCAGGGCACTCTCAAGCTCCCCGCCCTCACAAGAAGCCTCTGCCTCTTTAGCAGGCTGCCCCTGCTCTGAAGCCACTGACTGTTCCTGGCCTGCATGTTTCTTACAACGCCTTCAGCAGAGATGGAGATTGTGGTTAGTGTCTGGGTACCTCAAGGGGCTGGGGAATTCCTCATGCTCTGGTTGTGATCTAGAAGGGAGGAGGCTCTGATGTCAGCTCTCCCCTCCTGCCCCCAGGAGCATCAAAAGAAAATACAATGAGATATTACCAGGCATTACGGAAAAGTCTCTATCGCTGAATACAAGTGTGTGCTGCATCACCTTAGGATAAATGCCAGGGTTGATGCCTACCCTCTGTTTCCCAATTTTTCTTGCTTGCTCACTTGGCAAAACTAGTCCAATCTATAGAAATTGGGAATGGAAGAGAACACAGACAGCCCTTTCTAAGGAAGCACCTCCCACCTGCTCTCCAAGCAGCCCCAGCCCCATTCCAGAGAAAAGAAATATGAAGGCCCCTTTTCCAATCTCCTGCCAATACGCCACCCAGGCCTCTTTCCCCTGAACTCTTCTCAAGGCTAGAGAGAAATCTTTGGTTCCACTCATTATTCCATTTGTCTTCTCTAACTGGGCAGGATTATGTTTGGAAGTAGCTGCTTCTGAAGCTGACACTTTAATGCTTGATTTTTAAAAACCTTATTGTTTAAATACCAGTTTTGCCTCTGAAGTAGCCAAACCTCACGTCCTGTCTGTTAATTATCAGCTGCTAAGTAGCACTTTTCTCATTGGAGCTGATGAGCTCTGGGCCACTGAGGGTAAGAATGCCAATGCAGGAAAAGGAGGCTCCAGCACTGGTGCTTGCTTGCACTTGGGGATATCAAGCCAAGTAAGACATAGTTCTTGTCCGCAAGGAGCTTGGTCTAGCAGGGAGGGCCTGGCAGGGGGCTGTAATTTGAGTGCATAGCAGTCATGCAGGCAGAATGAACCCTCACTAGGGCAGAGGAGGGAGGCAGTTCTGCCTGGAATTGGGCAGGGGAGTAAGGGGGTAAAATCTATTATGAGCCTTGAAGGATAAATACAGTTCTACCAGAAAAAACTGAAGATAAGCAAATGTAAGATCCAAGAGAAGATGTGGAAGCAGATAAATGCAAGGCAGAGCGGGAAGGAGTGCTCTCCTGGAAGGCAAAGTGTGGAAGGCAGGACAAACCAGCTTGCTTGAATGCCACGTTCAGGAGTTTGAATTTTACACTGGAAGTGAAGGGAGGCTACTGAAGGTCTCTAAACAGAAATGACATCTGTCATTACCGGGAATGGATGGCTGAATCTCTCAATGTCTCTGAAGAAAACCAGGTCGGTGTTAACAAGTGCTAACATGCAAAGAAGCAGGGACTCTTCCCTACGGAGCAGGATGCAGAGAGGCAGACACACACATGGCCCTCACCGGCTGGATGGCCCTTGGGCTGTCCCTGTAGGGCTCCACTGAGATTCAGACCTTTCCTCTGGCTCTCAGCAAGGCCTGACAATTGGAAGGATCCTGGAATGATGTTGCATCTCTGCATCTCCCTAGAGCCCTTGGCAGATCAAGCACTCTGACGCATGCCATGACTTGGAGTGGCAGGGACCACACCACAGCTGCCCTCAAATATCTGCTGAAGACTGAGTGCAAGGATGAAGATGACGGTTCTGCGAGGCTCTAAAGATGCAATGAGCACCAAAGGATTTCATGACCTCAAAGAACCAAATCTCAAGATTCGAAAAACATAGAACTTTAACAACAGCGAATTTTTCCTTAATGGTAAGGTTTTCTTGAAAAGGGATAAGCTCCTTACCATTGGAAGAATTTAAGCACAGGTATGATAGGTTGGTGGTTGCCAAACCCAGATAATTATCACTTGGGGAGCACATTAAAAATGCACATTCCAGGTTACCTCCTCTGAAGAGTCTTGGATTCAACTAGACACAAAGAGTGGTGCCCAGGAATCTGTATCTTGAAATGCTACCCACAAGTGAGTCTAACAATCATCCTGGTTTGGGAGCCACTGGGCCAGGTGACCATCTCTTAGGATGTAGTCCTCAACAAGGTGAACTCCTCTTTTTTTTTTTTTTTTTTTTTTTTTAGAGACAGGGTCTCATTCTGTTGCCCAGGTTGGAGTGCAGTGCAATAACGGCTCTCTGCAGCCTTGGCCTCCCAGGCTCAAGTGATCCTCCCACCTCAGCCTCCTGAGTAGATCGAACCATGTGTGTACGCCACCACGCCAGGCTAATTTTTGTATTTTTTGTAGAGACAGTGTTTCCCCATGTTGCTCAGGCTGGTCTCGAACTCCTGGGCTCAAGCAATTTGCCTGCCTCAGCCTCATGAACTGCTGGGATTATAGGTATGAGCCACTGCACCTGGCCCTACAAACTAAATACTTTTTAAGATCCTTTTCTAAATGAATACCTTCTACTTGCCCTCTCACCTGGGCTTCAAAACCTCTCCCTGTACCCTTCCTCAAATCCCCTTCCAGCTAAGTGTCTACCAGGATTAGAAAAATTATCTCAGAATCTTGCATTGTCTAAGAGACTATTCTGTGATGATAAAATGTTCTCTATCTGTGCCACATAAAACCGTGGCCACTAGCTAACCACTGAGCACTTAAAATGTGGCTGGCACTACTGAGGAACTGAATTTTAAATGTTATTAACACTTAATTTCAATTTTAATAGTCACATATGGCCAGTGGGTACCACAGAGGCCAGCACAGCTTCTCGTGAAAGAGAGCTTCTGTATTCTCAGTGGGATCCAGGCAAACAAGTAAATTCTGGCCCCACTCCCTCCACCACTCCTCTGGGCTCACCTCCAGTCTGAAGAGATGCACTGGATCACAGGGAGATTAAATTCAAAGAAGACTGCAGGCAAGGAGGGGCTCTGCAGCAGCTGTACCAGAGGCAACAGGTACAGGGAACACAGTGCCTAAACAAAAACTCTCACCCCCAAGGACTTTACCCTGTTCTGCCCAGAAACGTAATTAACACCAGCAGCTGTCATCCCATCCTGGGCAGTAGGGCCTGACACCTGGTGCCATTTCCCAGCTTCCCCAGAGCAAGCAGCCCTCGTTCTCAGGGATGACCTACAACATCCCTTAGTTGACTAATGCTGGAGTCTCAAAACTGGTTTGTACTGGAACTTTTGGCTCTACTAGGGTATAGAAGTCCAAGGGAGAGAAATTGAATCTCAAAAGAGGGAAAGAGAGAAAGCAAGCTATGTTTATTCCAGACCTCAAAAGGTTTCATCAGGAAAATAGATCATCTGTACATTTCCAAACACAACTGGCTTCTTGCCCAGCTATAGCACACAGGCCAAAATCAAACCTGACCAAGTACTCCAGATTAACATGTGTGGTCTTCTAGCCTTGATTTCTACCTCCCACTCACATTCTGGGCCCTTTTTTCCCAGCATCTGCCTTGACACAGACACACACTGAACCTACCAACAAGGTGGTTATCTGAGTTGAGAAGTAAGTATTCCCTCAGCCTTCTAAGACACAACACAGACCTGTGCAGCAGCAAAAAATGCCAGGTGGGAATCAGGAACCACCTGTCAAATTTAAACAGCTCTCAGTGTCCAGCGAGAGGAGACCAGCAACCTTCCAGGTGTGAGTGGATGCAACAGCTCTCTCACCTGGAGGACAAAGGAGAGGATTCTCTCTCAAGGTTCCCTCAGTCCAAGCACTGACTACTTCCCTTTGGAGACATAGCTGGCCTGCTGCAGAGACACAACCTCTCAGAGGAAAGGAGAGTGGAAAGTGTGGATGGGAAAGGAAGGACAAAAGAAAAACTACACAGGAAAAGCATTGCAGCGGGAGGGGCAAGAACCACCCATCACAGACCAGATATTCTTTCTGGCATTTTCTGGAAGATGGTTTTACCTGCTTCTTTCTTTATTTAAAAAAAAAAAAAAAAAAAGTAAGAAGAAGAAAGAAAGAGAAAAAAAGAAGAGAGAGAGAGAGAAAGAAACGAAAAGAAAGGAGAAAAGAAAAAGAGAGAGAAAGACAGACAGACATGTTGCAACTTCCTTTGTCACAGGACATGCTCAGGAACAAACAGACCCGACCCATTGCTTCACTTTCCCATCTGCACTAACGGTCAGCTCCATCCCAAGCCCTGACCTCTGTTCTCTCAGCTCCTGAGCTGAAGGACACAAACACGGCCTCCCTGTCTCCCTGCATGCAGTCTGCCCACTCCTTCACCTAGAAGGCTAAACTCAAGAAGGATGAGATTCTTCAGACCAAAAGAGAAGCCATATGAGGGCCCAAAGGAGGATAAAAAGGGCTCTGCCACAGCTTTAGCCCAGCCATTTCTTTTTCTTGCCTCCTTCGTGACTTCTCCTGGCTCTATGTGATGCGTTGGTTCACACCAATCTCAAGCATTGCCTATTACCAGATTCCTGGAGAGGCAGCATCTCTCCCTCCTCAGCCAGACAAAATACGGAGCCCCAGTGGAGTCCCTCACACTTCTCCTTAGAAACCATCCCACTGGACGTATTTTCATCTGCACCCTCCCCTGGCTGTGTCACAGGTATATGTCCATGAAGTATCCTCTGCCCATGCCAGGCAGTGATCCCACCCTCTACTTCCTCCCACCTTGAAGAGCCCATCATGTGTCTCTGCATCCTTTATTGGCCACCCTGGTGCCCAGACACTTACCCCCACCCACTCCCTGAAACTCTTCCTTCAGATACAAAACGAGGAACCACACCATCTGGCCTACAAGGGTCAAATGACAAAAATGCAAGAAATGGTAAGATCTGGATTTTGAGAGGAAGTCCTCTTTCATTCATTTTTATACACACGGGTGTTCGTTCCTCTAAACTGTATGTTTCCAAAGGCAGGGCCTACAACTTATTCATCTCATCGTAGCAATTTGCACAAAATAAGTATCCCATAAATATTGGATAAACTTAAAATTGCTAGGTCATCTAAGTACCCAATTATAATGGAGTCACAAAGGACCATTAGAGAGGCAATACTGTGAGCTGGAGGGAGCCTAGGTTTTAGAGTTAGACACACTTATTAATAAGCCTCAGGCTTTTGCCTTTGCACTTGCTATTCCTCTACCTGGTCCCCCTTCCCACCCCCCAAATAGCTTTTTTGTCTGTTTTATATACTGATGTATATCCAGAGCCCAAGATAATGCTTAGCACTTAGTAGGTGCTCAATAAATAATTGCTAAGGAATTATTCTGTACATGAACATGTTTCTTCTGTAAAATGGGGACTTTCACTTTGCAGTAAAAGGGTTATTTTAAGGATTAACAAGAATGTAAGTAAAACACCTAACACAATGCCTGATACATAGTATCTGCTCAATAAAGACTTGTTATTAATCTGGGAAACCTTCACAGAGTTGCTAAGTTTCCTACAGTGATCTGAATAATAGAAATTTGTTATATTGTATCAAAGTCTATCTGCTGTTTTGAGCTATCCTTAGGGGAGCTGTACAAGTCACTCTTGGCATTGCTAATTAATTTTCTTGAGTAGTAAGTTGCTTTGGATCTCAAGGGTATAGAAGGTACCCACAGGCAAATCCTGCTTAGAAAGGCAGGGGTCTAGTCTAAGCTGCTGGAAGGATCAATGTTCTAAATTCTTCTCATCTCATATAGCAGAGGTATTAAAGGGGTCTAAACCCAAGAGGATGACCCTTGACTGTTCTGCCATTCCAAGCTAATCCTGCCATCTGGGCCTCCTGATGGCCAGTCAGCAGGGAAGACAGGAGGCAGGCATGGAGAACAATAAACATTTATAAACATTGGCTGAATGAATAAAAACACTGCAGCCAGGAAAAAGGTGAAGTAACACTGTCCTGCAGAAACTGAGGACAGAGATGATGGCTCTTAGTCCCCGAGGCTCCCTGGGACCCAGGCCGACCACTTGTTTCCCAGCATCAGGTTATTTTCCCAGCAGTGCGGATGCAACAACAGTGATGAAAGGCTTTCGGTGCAGGAGTCCTTCAAGGTCAAGTCTAGTCCTGTTGATTTACAATGAGGAAACTGAGTGAGGCCCAGACAGGTCCTAGGACTTGCTTGGGGCCACACAGGTAGAGTTAGTAGCCAGGTCTCCCAGATTCCAGTCTAGTGTCAGGTTCTCTTTCTTGTGTAAATCTGTTGTGGCATGGAGTTAAGCAGCCCCATGAGGTTCAAACCTTTGACCTCAGTCCCAGCAACTGGGTACTTGATATAGTTTGGATATTTGGCCCCTCCAAATCTCATGTTGAAGTATGATCCCCAGTGTTGGAGGTGGGGCCCGGTGGGAGATGTTTGGGTCTTGGGGGCAGATCCCTCATGAATGGCTTGGTGCCCTCCTTGTGGCAGTGAGTTCTCGCTCTGAGTTCATAGAAGATCTGGTTGTTAAAAAGAGTCGAGGGCCTCCCCCACCCCCATGCTCCCTCTTCTCGACATGTGACATGCCTGCTCCCCCTTCAACTTCCCCCATGAGCAAAAGCTTCCTGAGGTCCTCACCAGAAGCAGATGCTGGTGCCATGATCCTTGTACAGCCTGCAGAACTGTGAGCAATAAACCTCTTTTCTCTATAAATTACCCAGTCTCAGATACTCCTTTAGTGCAACACAAAATGGACTAATACAGTGTTTAACACTCGTCCCTCTTGCAACACACAGGAGCAGGACCAGCAGATAGAAAACAATGGACTGCATCTGTGTGTCTGTGCCGTGTCTGTAGCTAACTAGAAAATGCCAGGAGCTGTAGGAAAGTTGGCAAGCTCCACATCTGTCCCTCCCTCAGTTAAAGTTCTCCAAAGGGCAAAAGGGTCATCTCCATGACTGAACAGGAATAGGAGGGGCCTTGGAACAGGGAGAAGGAGGAGAGGCATCAATGAGAAACTGTGGTCAGGGTCCTTGTAAGAATGAGAACTCTGTAAGCAGAAATAGAAGGTGCCTGCTTGAGTCAGCAGATCCAAGTGGGTAGAGGGAAGAAATGCTCAGAAGACTAAGAGCAGCTTTTCAGCAGCAGAAGAATGAGAACAGACAATGTGAGAGATCATCACTCTACCCCAGCTCAGTCTCAGAGAGCACAGCCCAGTACTATCCCACTCCCAGGGCTGCCACAGTCCCTGACTCTGAGGATTACCTCTAGTACATCACATTTAATATCGGTGGCATCCACTATTACTCAGTTATCACACCTTTATTCAGCAGCTAAGTATAATGCATATAATGCACAGTGCCAAAATACTCTAGGATTCTTTTTTCAGAGACGGGGTCTCGCTCTGTCACCCAGGCTGGAGTGCACTGACATGATCATAGCTCACTGTAACCGTGACTTCCTGGGCTCAAGTGATCCTCCCACCTCAGCCTCCTGAGTAGCTGAAACTATGGGTATGTGCCACCACAGCTGGCTAACCTTTTTAATTTTTTGTAGAGATGGGGTCTTGTTATGTTGCCCAGGCTGATATCAAACTCCTGAGTTCAAAAGATCCTCCCACTTGTCCTTCCAAAGCACTGAGATTACAGGCGTGAGCCACCATGCCTGGCCTGAGTTTTTTAATGAGGACATACGGTCACTACATGAAAATAAGAGGACACAAAAATAATGAAGATGTAGGTTTTCAGGGGATTTACAGTCCAATCCGATATCTAAAGAGGTGCCTTGCGTTCCTGTGCGGAGTCTGGAAACAACATGCAGAAATGGCACCTTGAAAGGGGAAGGAAAAGAAGGAAGAACAGGTCATCAGCCTCAGACCTCAGGTGGCTGAAGGAGAGAATGTATTTGGTGTCTGCCATATCTTTGCATCCTTCAATGACACTTTTGTCCATGTCACTGATCTTTCTGGCAAAGAAATCATCTGCCGTGTGACTGGTAGGATGAAGGTGAAGGCAGGTGAGATGAATCCTCACCACATGCTGCTATGTTGGCTGCCCGGGATGTGGCCCAGAGCTGGGTATCACTGCCCTACACATCGAACTCCGAGCCATAGGAGGAAGTAGAACCAAGACCCCTGGACCTGGGGCCCAGGTGGCCCTCAGGGCCCTTGCCCGCTCAGGTATGAAGATCGGACAGATTGAGGACGTCACTCCCAACCCCTCTGACAGCACCCGCAGGAAGGGGGGTTGCCATGGTCACTGTGCACAGGACTCCTCAAATATTTTCCGTTAATAAATTACCTTCCTGTTAAAAAAAAAAAGAGAGAGAGAGAGAGATGCCTTGCACATGGAGAAATGCACTTAAACAGAGAAATAAAAGGTAAGAGTGTATCAGCAAGTTTGATGGGGAAGGATGGGAAGACCCACTTTTGGTGCGAAAGGCTCTGGAAAAGCAGCATCTGTGCAGGGTGGAAAAGGTAGATATAGACAGGACGGGGGACAGGCATGGTACAGAGAAGATGCAGATGGATAGATGCTAAGGTGTGGGGGTGGAAAGCACAGTTCTGTTAAAGAAACAACATATATAAGCCACTTAAGCTGGGGAGAAAAAAAAAGCATGTGTTCCAAAAAAAAAAAAAAAAACAGATCAGGGCCAGATCTGGGAAAGATGTGGATATCTCATGTATTCTGCAGGCAGAGAGACCCACTGAAGGGCTTAAGCTGGGAAGCTACATGATCAGAGCTGGGCTCTGGGCAAACTAATCCCCCACTGCACGCCGAAGAATCATGGGGGCAAGACCTTCCTTCCATAGCTGAGGGTTCTCAGAGTTAGCCACATGTTTCAACCACCCATCCCACCCCCTACTACTCTCTATTCCTTCTCTCTCTGGTTACACCTCAAACCTAATTTTATTTTCTTTTAAAGTATCCGAGCCCAGGTAGCCAAATCAAATGCATAAAGTCAGGAAAGTCTGAGACCCAGGAGAGGGGGCACTGCCACCCTTCCTCCTCCTCTCTGTGAGCACAGGTCACTAAAGCACATCAGGGGAAGAGAACACAAAGGGTATGAAGTCACTAAGAGTCGCAGGTGGGCTCTGCTGGAAAGGACATGATGCTCGTGAGCCTGGCAGTCAGAGGGAATGACAGCACTTGGCGTGTCTGCAAGCGCAAGTGTTTCCAGGGCAGGTTACTACATATGCTCATTTTCTCCCTGTGGCCTCCCCATCTGCCAGAGATCTGGGTGCCTGTAAGGATGTAGAAGGTATGGGATGACCCCTTGCTGGGCTGTCCAACTCAGCTGTGCAGCCAGGCTGCTCTGAGCTGCAGGGCACATGCAGCCTCCTCATCAGGTCACCTGCATTCCTAGAATTCTCCAAGTTCCAGACACACGGCCTTTAGTGTCCAGGGCTCTCCCCGCAGGACCCTTTGAGCTCTGCAGAAGCCAAGCATGACGAGCAACCTGCAGATTCCTCACTTAGAGAAGCTAGCCTTCTCCAGCTCCCGTGAAGCCTGGCCTTTAGAATCCTACTAACCTTCTTCTAGGAATCACAGAAGCCAAGGAAGGCAGTCGGGATAGGGAAAGACAGAGGGTATGGCTATTCTGAGGACAGGGGCTCCTTCTGTCAGAGTTAAAAATAAACACTTAGCAACTATGCCCAACTCTTCCTCTGCACAGGCCAATGGGCCTTGGCAGATAAATCTTTCCTTGCAGAGGAAATGTGGCCCCAGGGGAGAGGTGGGAGAAGGAGGCCATCGACACATGGTCAGAGTATGTAACTCTAGCTGAAGGCAGTGGGTTCCTCAAGTCCTATGTCTTGGTTGTCATTGCCATCACTCTCCACCATACACCCCTTCCCCCAAATAAACCATAATTCCTGAAAGCAGACATAGAGCCCTCCTAGGCCACGATTAGTATCAACACCTGTCTAGGGATTAGAAAAAATCAGAAAGAATACTAACGCCACGCTGAAGAACAGAATGCCAATGTCAGACTCTGCCCAGTATCTATCAGCTAAGCAAATATTCTAGCTACCTGAGCCCCTTTCCTCATCTTGCTCCACAAGTCTCCAGGATCCCTGGGGAGTAGAGGAAGAGGCCACACCTCCATGGACACACATCAATACTGCAGTCAAGAGGTAGAAGAAACCCATGCACTCGGTGACATTCTGCATGTGGCTGAGCTGGAAGGGCCAGAGGTGCCATGGCCTGACTCAGGAAGGAGATCCTGAGAGCCAGGGCCCAGTTATTCTTGGACGCTGACAAGATGAGGTCACACTTTTGAATGTGGTAGCCCAAAGCCTCACACTGCGGAGGTGGAGAATATAACGTAGCAACAGGGCAGGAGTACACGGTAGGTAGCATGCTCGGTGACAGGGCAGTCGGGTTGAAGGCCTGGGGCAGACTGCCCATGTGGGGCTGTCCTAGCATATAACTATGGTAACTCTGTTACCATAACCAGGTAACTCTGGCAAAGAGGCCTGCTTGGAGGTAAAACTGGAGGAAGCCAGGGCTGGAGGCGAGCACAGTAGAAGGTCTGATCCACTCTGATGAGCTTGGTCACTCTCCTTTTTGTCTAACCCTTTCCCTACTGGGAAATAAGCAGGACAGCTTCACGGAGCTTTCATACACACAAATCTAGACACCTGGAGACATAAAAACCATAGCACGTCTCCCAGCACTCAGAAGAGTGAGTTAGCCCCAAATCACCTACCAAGCTCAGGCTGGAAGAGAAAGGGGCAAGCAGGGAGAATATCAGCAGAAAGTGAGAGAAACAGGTCAGCGGTGTGGCAGGAAGCACTGGGACAGCTAACAGGGCCTGGCTGTGAGGGGAGACTGCAGCAGTGGCAGGTTTATTTTTAGCTGTTCGGCAGAGGGGCTGAGTAACAGTTCTGGGCCCTGGGCAGGAGGCCAGGCTGCTAAGGTCCGGTGTGTACTGAGAGCCTCCTAACAATGTGGATCATTAAAATGGCAGCAAACGAACAACTCGATCTTCTCCCTGTAGACAAGCAGGAGGATAAGGAGCCCCGCCGGAGGACGAAAGTGGAGGAGTCGGCAGGGGGACAGTCAGTAGATCTCCTGTTCAGCCCCTCCCCTCAGAGAGACTTCACCTTTGCTTCTGGTTCAAAAGAATCTTCATGGAGATGAGCCAGAGAGAAGGCATCAACAGTACAGCTCCCTCAGCTCCCTCATATGCTCTGAAACAGAAAAGGCTCCCATCGGGTGGCCACTAGCTTCCGCCTCTGGCCACCACTCTTCACCTCTAAGATGAGTCCTGGATGGACACTGGCCACAGAGATGCTTGGAAACGTCCCTCAAGAATAAGATGCCCTTTCATATGACCCTTTTGGAGGGCTCAGGTTCCCAGCAGAATGAGCGCACAGCTTGGCTGGTCTTGGAGGAGAACACCAGATACAAATATGGGCTGACCTTGGGGCCTTGTCCCAGCTCATTCTGGCACACAGAGGTGTTTACTGATCAGACAATAAAGACCCCAAGAACCTTTCACTGCCAGAGGCCCAGCCCAACTTTATGTCTCCTTCTACTGTGGCTTTCTTCCTCCTCCCACCAAACCTGATGGCCCAGCACACAGGACCCCACAGTCTAAACCTCCGGGGCTGAAACAGCTGCTCTAGCCTTGCATGGGCAGGAAGAGGAGGAAAGAGAACAGACATCACCAGGCAACCCCTTTTCCTCCTGCTTCCTTGGATTCCTGATATCTCTTCTTACTCAGCCTGGTCTGAGGGGCTGAGGGTCACCTGAATGTAAATCCTAATTTCCTCATCAGCTCTGTGAATCAGTCCCCAACTCTAACCTAAGAACAACCCCTAATCCATAACCATACCTTTGGTGAATTAGAAGGCACTCCTTTGAAAGAACCCAGCCACACACAAAGACAAAGCCAAGCAAGGAGACAGTGGCTGGACTTCAGCCTTCGCTTAGCTCCTCAACCAGATCCCTGTGCACAGGGAACAGCCTGCACCAGAAATCACAGTGGCCCTCAAATGCCCCATAACTTGAGAAAGGAATCTCAAACAGGGAATAGAGTTCCTCATCTCTACTTTGCACCACCACTACACTATGATTCTTCTGATTTTAAGGAAAGAGAAGATGCACACCCTGCTAAATTACGTAGTCTATCCTCTCTGCCGAGTCACCAGCATAGAACACTTTCTAAGTCTTCACACAAGAGAAGGAGCAGCTGGTCAGTGATGATTATTCATTAACTGGACACAGGCTGCCCTGGAGCCAGGCACTAAGCTTACGAAAGGGCATCTGTGCTGACCCAGATACTGCTGATGGTCAGACCCGGAGCAAGTCAGCAAGCTATCCTGCCTGCCCTCCACCTCTGGCCTGCAGCACCGCCTTCTACTGCCTCACCCTGCCGGTGCTCAGGAGCTGCTCGAGCCGACCCTCTGTGCAATGAGGCCTGGAAAGTTTAGCTGACCTATTCAAGGTCATGTAACTTGTTAGCAGCATACAAACACTGGAAGCTTTCTATTTATGTATGCACTTATTTTTGCTTTCTTATCTAGCACATAACCCATGGTAACAAGCTCATCTCTACATATCTATATCTGTGTATGTGTGTATATATATATATATATATATATCTTAAAATACAAAATACCAGTATTTTCCTAAAAACTAGAAAAGGTACACAGCAATCTGATTTGGGTTCTATAACTGCCATACGTTATTACACTGTCCAGTGACATGGCCCCTTCTCTTCACCAATGCCCCCATTTACAAGGTAACCCATGTGGAAAGATCCTAGCTGATGCGTTAGTGGAGCTCAGTTTTGCTCCACCAGGTCTACAGTCTTCTAGCAACCAAAAACCAAAGGGGCCCAGACCAAGAGCAGGTCCCAGGGAACCAGGTCTCAAGATGTGGCTCGGATGCTGACACCATGTAAGACCTTGGACATGCCACTGAACATTTCTGCACTAGGCCAGCTTCTTCCTCAGTGATGTGCAAGGAGTCAAGAAAGATGACCAGGGAGTGTGGGTTCTAAGTTACTATGAAGTGTGGGTTGCTTTGCCACTGGGCCTCAAACCATTACCAAGAAAAGCTGCAGTCCCTGCAAAGAACAACTCTTCTCTGCCCATCCACCTCCCTCCAGGACACAGAACCATCTGGAAAGATACAGTGCAGGGAAGAGGGGGAAAAGAGACCTCACATGACACTTGGCAGGGCCTGAAGTAGAGGAAAGGTAGGAGAATAGAGTGAATCCTGCACCACAGACATCACGCCACCAGGAAGAACCCCAGCTCAGAGCATGGCAAGGCTGCTTGGGAACTGGGCAATGGCTCAGATGCAGACGACTGTGCCCTGCTCTTCCCCATCTTGGCTGACATTCCTCCTGGCACCCACTCAGCACACTCCTGGGCTCTGGCTAACAGGAGCTTTGGCCCCTCCCCTAGCCCAAGGATTAAGTTTGCCTCCAGCAGTTCTGAGGCTGGGCTCTTCCAGGCCCTCCTCCCAATCCCCTGTACCTGCTTCATAAGAAAAATCATCAATTATGGATGGCCCAACCTCTCAGGTCCCAAGTAGCAGAAACATCACAGGTCCCAATACCTTCCTCCTCCCACAAAGGGGTTCTTTTGTTTCCTAGACACCCACCAATATTTGGCCCTAAGGCCCAGGGACTGCTTGTCTCTCCCCTCCTGTCAGCCACTGATCCCGTATCTTAGCTGGAGATTGTCTCCAAGCTCAGTCAAAGCCCAGAATTCACAAGTAAAAAAGGACAGTGAGCTGACCCAGCTTCAATCTTGCCTCAGTGGATGCCAAGGGCCCTGCTGCAGGAGCCAGGGGTCAGGGCTGGGGTCAGGGCTACGGCCAGGAGGGACAGGATCTCTGAAACCACAAACCTGACCCTTCCCTCATAATTCTGTAAGCCCATCTTCAATGATTCCTAACCTTTTTTGACACCTTCATGCCCCTCAAACACTTTAAAGCCTGCTTTGACACAAGATGAGTTAGCTTCAATTTGGAGCCACCAACCCCTGACCACTCTGACCTCCTGTTCCTCCCCTCAGTTCTAGCCAGGCCAATGTCACCACACCTCTCACAGACTTGCTCACTCCTCAGAGGCACAGCCATGTCCCACTGACCCCAGCTGGAGCCTCCCTTAGCTCCTGGAGTCACCACAGATTCCCCTCTTTCAAAGCTCCTCTATTCCCAGCCACACGATTTAGCTCCCAGACCAACAAAGTCTAGGAGAACGTTCTGCAAGGATGAAAATGTTCTTCTGCATTGTTCAATTCGATAGCCATTAGCCACATGTTTACTGAACACTTGAAGTGTGGCTAGCAACTGATTTTTCAAATTTAATTTAGTTTAATCCATTCATGTTAATTAATTTTAATTTAATTAGCTATGTGAGGGTAGTGGCTACCAGATTGGACAGTGCAGCCCTAGCCTACATGTGTTAATTTCACCTTCTCTAAATAAGTTTCTTGACTCAAAATTTTACAGGCCATTTTTTACATGTGTATCCTCCATGCAACTAAGCTTATGATAGATATTCAGCAAACTGTTACCTACCTGTAACCATATTGCATATAAAAGAGGCTGGCTTGGTCAATGAAATTTTCCTAACCTTGTGACAACTCCAGCAAACTCCAGTTTGGGACACTGCCTCTCACCTAGCCACACTAACTGTCTTGCCCTCCACAGGTACACAGTATGAGGTGTGTTGGAAAGGAGATGGTGCCTGTACTGTGGGGATGTGGGAGCTCTGGCATTTCCCTCCAACAGCATCCAGAATAATCATGAGAGGCTCCAATCATCTCCCCTTCACCAGAACAAAGGAAGCCACATCGCAGTGGCACTTCCATGACCTAGGGAGAGAGGAATGCTGGAGAAAGGAAAGGAAAAGAAACTACAGGACCTTGTTTTCTCTAATCCACGCAATGGAAAGATACACAGAGATAAGTTACGACAACATTCTATATTTTATAAAGCAGTAACATGCTTCACCTAATCAGAGTTGCACAGCAGAGAACAACGATACAGTCTTTAATTAAATTTGTTGAGCTAACACCTAAGGGTCACCATGACACAGTGAAGCGGCAAGCAGCTGAGGAACCCTCCCGGGGAATACAACTAATTAATACACAAGTGGGTTGAGACTAGGTGTCCTTATCAAAGAAGTAATACAGGCCGGGCGCGGTAGCTCACACCTGTAATCCCAGCACTTAGGCAGGCTGAGGCAGGCAGATCACGAGGTCAGGAGATCAAGACCATCCTGAATAACACAGTGAAACCCCATCTCTACTAAAAATACAAAAAATTAGCCGGGCATGGTGACGGGCGCCTGTAGTCCCAGCTACTCAGGAGGCTGAGGCAGAATGGCGTGGACCTGGGAAGCAGAGCTTGCAGTGAGCCAAGATCGTGCTACTGCACTCTAACCTGGGCGACAGAGCAACACTCTGTCTCAAAAAAAATAAAAATAAAAATAATAGAATTCCCATGTTCTTGTACAAAAAATAGTAAGTAAGGTGCCTATCAAATACTCTCTTAAAAGGGGGAGGGAGTGGTTAAAAAAATGCATGAAGCTACTGTTGAAGTTCCCCTCCAACTTTGGGGACTGTTCTCAGGAGCAGCAAATACCCATCCAGCCCCCTTCGCTGACCTCCCCTCTTGTCAGTCAGGGCCTGAGGTGACAGAACAGCTCCTCAGGCTGGAAGCACCCTGGAGCAGCAGGTGGCCATGTGCCTGAGCCCGTGGCTCAGTTAGGAAGTAAGTGGGAAGAAGCCTGAGACTGGGAGTCAGGCAACCTGGGTTCCAATCCTGCCTCTGCCAAGTGAATGGCTATGGTACCTTGAACAAGTCACTCCCTCACTCTGGGCCTTGGTTTTCTCTTCTGCAAAATAAGGGGGCTGGACAAAATGACCTTTCAAGTCCCTTGCAACTCTGACTGGAAGCATGACTCAGAACTTAGCAAAAGCAGCCAGGAGAGATGGTGAGGTGAGGTCAAAGCACCCACCAAAAGCATTTAAATGGGAGCTCTCTGAGGTGGAGGGAGAGAAGCAGCAGGGTGAGCTGGGACTCTTTTTCAAATGCTGATTTCACTTAACAGGGCTAAGAGGTCACCGACTATAGGCAGAGAGGAGAGCATCTAAGCAGCTGCCAGCTCCCATCAACTCTCAGGGCTGCAACATAGCAGACTTCTGAACCCCAGCAGAGGCTGGGCTCCTGCCCTCCAGCTCTGCCCTAGCCCCCAGCATTGGCCTCGGCACACTGTAGAATAGAGGTCTCCTCCCCTTTTCTCAGGCACCTTCCCAAGGGGGTAATCCCTCTTGCCCCACTCCATCTTCCTCTCCTGCTTTATAATCACTAGACTTCTGGTTTTGAAAACCATTTCACTACTCAGCACCTGAGGTTAATCAAAATTCAAGATCTAGAAATCTCTTTGGTGTGTGTCTCTGGAACAGCGTTCTTTGAACCAGATTCCCCCCACAGCTGTAATTATGTCTCAGCCAATATTTGGATATGGAAGTGCTGTTAACACTGCTGTCAGTCTCCAAATGCCTTGTCTCTCCTTTCTTCCTCCATTATTAAGTTTTAACACAAAGACGTGTGTGGGAAATCCACAATTTAACAGTTGAGTCAACTTAAAAGATCTGGGAGCAGGCTGCCTGTCAAAACAGACTGACTTCACTCTTCGCCCACTTCTAACCTGAGAGGGATAAACTATGAGTGTTATTTAACACGCTGCTGGATTTTTCCTTCCAAAACTATTCAAAGTAGAAAAATATGTAAACCTCTCTCTCGTTAGTTACAAGAGAAATCTGAATTGCCACTCAAAAGCATTTTATAGGATGATTTTGTGCGTGTGTCTATTAAACAGAATACAGAGCAGAAGTTGGGAGCTTTTGTTCTGAAGTCTTTACATAATATTCCAAATATCCAAGAGAATGAACAGCCAGTGTCCCCAAACTACTAATGGGTGAAGGCAGATGGTGTCTCAGAGGGGACAGCAAACACTCCTGTAAAGACCGTCTGTCACTTCCTCAATGATACAGGTTAACTGTGGTCAAACTGTATTCACCCAACTCCAGTCCCCAAGGTCAGAGCCATGCTCAATCCAAACAACTCCTCCTCCTCCTTTCCCTTCAGTTATGAGTAGGGAAAGAGAAGTCTAAGACACAAATGTTGAAGTGTTGAAGATACTTATCCCCTCTCCAACAGTCAACACTAAACAACAACCGAGATCCCAGAGCAATAACTTACAGTAGAAAGCAAAGCACTGTAACAGGGTTGAGTATGAGAGCAGCAGGAAAACAATTCTAGAGGCCTTAAAATCTAGAAATGGAACATGCTTGCCCCGTACAACCCCGAAGTACTGGTGTTTCTTTTAAAACATCTGATCGTATATTCCAATAGTTCCACCCATACCACATTTCTGAGTTTTGTACTTGACAACTGAAATACAGCTCGCTGTGGGGGCTGAAGGGGAAGAGAAAAATATAACACAGGAAGTATTTTTCTCCTCCTCCAATCATTGAGACACCCCAGGGGAAACAGACCTGAGGCGTCACCTTTAGAGATTGGTTTGACCTGAAACCCCTGTGAGAGGAAAACCTTGTTGGTGACCCTGCAAGACCGGCTCACACTTCACTGCGGACCCACCCATCTCATGAGACCTCCCAGTCCATTGTGTTTAACTTCTGAAGTCGATATTCTCACTTGAATCCTTATTCTCCCCACCACCACACCCCTTAAAGAAAGAAAAGGGATGGGCTCCCCCGGCTCAAGGATAATGTTTCCTCAGACTGCCCATCACGGCGCGAGTCCAGGACAGCAAGTGGCCCTCTCTAGGAGGCGGAATCAGCACGGGCCCGGCCGCGGGTTACAGACTCTGTTCACAATGATCAGCCGGGCCGCGGACACCGCCGGCCTCTCCCCGGAGCCGCCCCGCGCGGGCGTGGGAGGGGGCCAGCTGAGGGGGCCAGCTCCGGGATCCAAATAATCCCGCCCCCGCAGCCGGGGGACACCCAGGACCCTCCCGCCGCACACCTCCTGCCCGGCGCGCCCCAAGGCGGCCCGGCTGCCCTCGCGAGGCTCGGGGAAGTGAAATCACACATTCCGGCTCCCAAATAAGGAGCGAGGCTAAATAAACCTCTGCGATCCGACTTCTCCAAACCAACCGACCAACCGGCTCAATGAGTAATGGGCCTTTTGTGCCCGCAGAGAGAGAAAAAGGAGGGAGGAGAGGACGGGGAACCACCAACCCCAAAATCACTTCCTTGAGATGGAGTGAAATTAGCAGAAGTCCCGAAGCCAACCGTTCTGACTCGGCTGGATCCCGCTCAAACCCCAAAATGGCAGGGTCCCCTGAGTCCCCAGGAGCGGGTCCCAGGGCTCCCGCCCGGGAGCGGCCGGAAGCGGTCAGGGAGGCGAGGGCGCTGGGACCCGCCGCCCGCGCCGCACTCGGCACCGCCGGCCCGGCCGCCCCGCCCCGCCCCGCCGCGGCCACCCCTCCGCCCCGCGCCGCGACCCAGGCCGGGACGGGCACCCGACGCCGTGGAGCTCCAGGGCCCGGGACCGGCCCCGCCTCCCCTCCCCGGGCCCCAGACCTACTTTGAGGGCGAATTTCTCCTGGGTCCTCTTGTTGAAGATCTGCAAAACTTTGCCGTTGATGCCCAGCCCCAGGACCTGGCTGGTGACCTTGTAGTCATCGATGATGGCGTTCTTCTTGATCTGCAGGCCGGACTTGACGTGGAACTGCGGGAACTGCTGCGGGGGCGGCGGCGGCGGCTGCGCCGGGGGGTGCGGCAGGGCAGGGGTGGGGGGCTGCGGCGGCGGGGCCGGGGCGGGGAACGGCACCGGCGGGCTCTGGCCCTGGGAGTTGGACAGCATGGTGCCCGGGGACGCCGGGGCACAGGCGGGGGTGCCCGCGGCCGCCCCCTCCTCCGGCTCCGGGCCCCCTCCCCGCCGCCCCCCGACGGGCTGCGAAGTTCGCTCCGGGCTGGAGCCGGCTTCCCCGACCCGGCCCGGCTCCAGGCTCGGCGGGTCGCGGGGCTCCGTGGGTCCCACCGCGCGCCGCTGGCTCCCACCGGCCCGGCGCCCTCCCTCCCTCCCCCCGGGGGCCTGGCGCTCTGGGGACCGCGGGGCGGCGGGGGCCCGGCCGGGGGGAAGCGGCCGCGCGACAATGTACCCAGCCCCGGGCCGGCGGCCGCGTCACAGCCTCGTCTGCGTCCGGGGCCGGTCCTTAAAGGGGAGGGGCGGGGGGCGGGGCCTGGGGAGGCGTGGCGTGGGGGGAGGGGCGGGCCTTAAAGGGGAGGACGCGCGGTGCCGGGAGCTGGGAGGATCGCGGAGTAGGCTGGGGGCTGCTGCCTCGCGGACAGTGAGAGGGGACAGGGAGAGGGGACGAAGAAATGCTAGTTCTTAACCAAGGCTATGCAAAGGGAGAGGGGAGGCGTGTCAAAGGAGCTGCATAATTCAGATGGAAAATCCACTCCTCTCCAATTGTCTGGGCTTCTTAGCGGCAGCGAATTGGGAGAGGGGTGTATTTCCAAGGACAGGGATGGCTTGTAGGTATCCAGCTAGATGAGACCTCGTGGGGGTGGGGGGGAGCTGGAATCACAGGGGTCATTCATCCCAGGAAAAGGTGTGAGCCAAAGGCGGGCGTATTAAATATTTCCCTAACTTCAACATTTTCCTCTGAGGTTTTTTGCATCTCTTTTCTCATTAATTTATTGTTTTTCAGTAAAGACGTATTATTGTGTAACCAGGAGCACTTTAGTAATTATACCTTTGAACATGTTTTCCTGTAAATAAACTAAAAAGGATACAGGGTGGGAAGAGGATGGGTTGAGATTGGGGCCACCTGAATTCCCGCCATCCTTTGCCACGGATTGGCTGTGTGAGGCTGAGCAAGCCTTGCACCTCTCTCTCCGTGGGAAGAACAGCGAGACCTTTTCAAAGGTTGTGGGCAGAGTCAAAGGAGATAATGAAACTGAAGGGGAGGCCCTGGGGAATGGCTTCTGATTTCCGATGTGGAAAAATTAATCCGTAAGAAGTGGGTTAGCCCCGTGTATCTCAGGAAAAGCCCAGGGATCTAGCTGGACCCTGCATAGAAGCTGCCAGGAGGCCTCCACACACATTCTGATGGGGTTCGAGATGACCAAGTACATTCCTGCCGACCTCCTCCCACCTCTGACTGGCAGAACATTTGAGAAATGGCAAGCAACCCAGACAGGTGAACACAAAACCTCAGCTTAAGTCTTGGTAAGGCCAGTTAGAGAATGAGGCTTGACCTATGGCCACACATGCCCCCTAATAGGTCCCCCAAAACTCCAGAGAGAAGACAACACCCCCAGAAGTGGCCACTGGGGATAGAACTTAGGTAGGTAAGGGACAAGTGCAAATGTCTCTTCCCTCATTCACCTTTCCCAGAAGATGCTTGTGGAGGCAGGAATGAGGGGGAGGAGTGAGGGGTGGGAGTTACCCTCCCAACACTGTCCTTTCCTGGGGCAGGTAGGGCTCTGTGGACCAAGGAGAGACATGTTTCCCCCGACACAAACATATGCTCTTCTCAAGCAGCATCTGCTTAGCTCCATGTACAAGGTGCCGTGCTCAGCCCTGCAGCGGTGGATGGTGTTATCTGATGGGGAAGAAGACAGATAACAGTGGCACAGAGAGGATGGCAGACACCTTCCTAGGAGCCCGAAGCACAGGGATTCTCTTCTGTCTACAGCAGCCAGCAGCTTCCTCCCGAGTCTACAGGATAGATACGGTTAGACAGCTCCCCAGATGCCCCTGACTCTTCAAAGACAAAGACACTATCTAAGGCCACGGGGATAGGAAAACATCTTCACTCCACTACTTCTATAGCACTGCTATCACCTCCCCGAAGCACACACAGGAGATGCCCAAGGACAAGAGGAACGCAGGGGTGGGAAGGTGGAAGGCTCCAACTGCTCAGGCTCTGGTGGGGCTGCTCTGGAGTCTGAGTTGGTCTTTTTTTTCTTTGCAGAGTCACTGGAAGCTCCCTATGGCTTGGTGTTGAGGTATCACCTGCTTTTCTCCACAAAGCTAGAAAGAGAATAACTTCCTTCTGCCTTTTCAGAGGCAGCAAGGCACAGTGGTAAGATGACAGGATCTAGAGACAAATGAGCTGAAGCCAAGACTGTCCTCCAACTGGGTTACCTTGAGCAAGACATGTAACATCTCTCAGCATCTGAAAAAGAAAAGAAAAAAACAACAAAATCTACTTTCGGGGCTGAGAGAGAATAAAATGAAATAGTAATTATGAGAACACATCCTAAAGCATAAACTATACATTATCATGAAATATTAAATATCACCATTATTTAGACATTGCTGGCTTGCTCCTCTGCTCTGTGCTCATGGCCTACGGATCTATTCCTGATATCAAAGCTGCTTTCCTACCTAGCTGGAGCTCCAGGGAGATGGTGAGGCCCAATGATCTAGGAATAACAGGACAACTGAATTCCCACCTGAGAGTCCTCCCGGAGCTGCAAGAGCCAAATAGGCCTAGGGGGCACACAGGGACTCTGAGGGTACATACATAGTGGATAGAGATTATATGAACTGCACACACAGCACCAGAAAACACACACATATATGAACACAACACATGAGCACAATGTGCCATGTAACAGAATAAACGCCTAGTGGATGAATAATTGAGGAGTAAGATGTGCTAAATGCAGAAGCACTGGCCAAGAGATCCTGAGTCTTAAGTTCCATTCTGATACTGACTCGCTATGTAACCTCATGAGAGCCCCTTGCTCTCTCAGTTCCTTCCTTCTCATCTGCAAAATAGTGACAATAACATCTGCCTTGCCTACTTTGTAGGGCTTGTGCAAGGATAAAATAAAAACTTTCCTACAGGAAGCAGTCCAAAGTCCTATTTGTGTAACACCAGGCTCTTAGCCATCTGTAATGAACTACTTAATAAACAGTTTTTATGGATGTGTAAAAGCGCTTTAAAACTTGAAAGTCTATGCAAATAGAAAGTACTATTTTTATCTACTATTAACATGCAAACACATATGCCATGCAATATAGTACACACAAAGACAATTTAAGGACCTCAGGTACATAGAAATGGATTAATTATAATCCTTGATTCATGACACACTCTCGTCATTGGATCATTGATCCATGCAGCTCCACTTTTATTGTTAGTTAATAATTATTTTTAATAATGCAGTAAGCACCTGTGAATCCACTACCCAAAATAAAAACTAGAACTTCGACAATAATTTACATCTAACTAGATGATTCCTCCACACACACTCCCCCAACCCCTCCATTTTCATGGCCCAAGACCCCATCATCCTGAGTCCTATGTTCACCTTTCCCTTGCTTTCCTTTTTATATAGTTTTGTTTCATGAAGGCATGTTCAAAGGTATCATAAAAGATGAAACTCAAATCACCTTAAAAGGGAGGTGGCCAAGGGTGATGTTAGCAGCAAGACCAGGTTAAAATAAGAAAATGCCTTGTCACAGTTTCAAAGTATTCCTCACCTTCTCATGATGATGGTGATGATGATGTTGATGATGATGATGATGATGACGATGACAATGTTTTTTGAGTGCTTCCTGAGTGCCCAACACTGTGCTCAACCCTCTACCTGCATTGTCTCATTTAAATCTCATGATGATCCGTGGCTGAGATTGCTAGTTGGGTGGGCTAACACCTTTTTTTCCTCTCTTTGATAGTAAAGAGCACCCCATATTTAGCTAAGCACAAGACTGCCTGGAATAAAAATTACATTTCCCACTTGAGCAGCCTCCACTATAGCCGGTTACATTCATAAGATTAAGTTATAACCAATGACTTGTAAGTGGAAGTGGTTTATGGAAAGAAGTATGTCCTTCTTCTTCTCCTTCTCTTTTTTCTTTCCTGCTGACTGGAATAAAAATTTCACAGCTGTAGCCATCTTGGATGGTGAATTGGAGGTTACAGGTTGAGGAAGACAGAACAAAAGGACAGAAAGAGTCTGTATACTGGTGAACCTGGATCCATCATATCAGCAATGAGCCACCTACCCAGACTTTTATATGAAAGAACAATAAATGGCCTTCTTGTTGAAGTGACTGATGGTCTAGGTTTTCTATCATTCACAGCCAAACCTTATCCTACTCTTACACAGCCCTATGAGGTCTGTACTGTTATCCTCACTTATCTGTTGTATAAACAAGAAAACTGAGTCCCAGAGAAATTAAATAACTTTCTCAGAGTCATTCCACTAGCGAAGGACAGGACCCAAATCTTTCTGACCCAAAGTCCATGCTCATGGTCCTTACTATAGATCCTGAGCAGACATATACTCACATATCCTTCTTAATGTCAGAAATATGATATCTGCTATTTCTGGGCAGGAATTGCCTGAAGAGGTATGGGCTATTCTTTCCATTTTAGAGCAACATAAATTTTCCACACCTCAATTTCCTTCCATCTTGGCCTAATCTGTTACAGAATATAGGTCTATGTTAATTTGCATGACTGGGTTATATGATAGGATACATTGTGACAATCTTTTTCTTCAAGATTCCCCCACACAGCCTTCACACCATCATGGAGTAAAAGTTTCCTGTTTTACTATGACGTGGCATTATGAATGAGTGACAGAGGGTGGAAATTTATGGAGGTGGATCTCTTGGAAATTTTCAGCTAACACTCTCTTGATGAGTGAGGATCATCCACAGGCTGGCGGATCTGCGCATGAACACAGATAAAGCAGCCTTTGTATCCACTGCTAGTACCGCAAACAAAATATTGCAAGAAGGAGCATGATTTACAGAAGAAGCTCTGTCCACTAAAAACCCACTCTTGGAAAGAAAAATGGCTTAGAGCCAGAGAGAAATAGTCTTCATGTCATAGGCTAGTATTTCTGTGATAAAATGAGAAATTCCCCCAAAGCAAAAGTGACAGATATATATACATAAGACTCAGTCACAAAAATTTCTGACCCAGAAAATGACCTCAAAATATTGGTCAGGATGGCCTCTATCATCCCTTCTATCTTAGCTCTTTCTGAAGGTGTTAACGGCTGCCTCACAGAAAGGAATTCTACCCATAGCAAGTGCCATTGGTAATGCCCTAGTTAAGACATCCCAGAGGGGAAAAATCCTTCCCCCACCCACGGTGCCCTTGGTGCCCTCCGTGCCCTCATCTGCACTTCATCCTTTGATAGTTTAATGCCACGGCAGGGAACAGCTGGGGCAGTGGCAAAGAATGCGAATAGAAAGAGAAAGAAGGAAGTACCCAAAGGGGAACAGAAACTTCACCTCTGCACATCAACAGACATAATATGGTCCAAAGGGACTACAAATGAGAGTAATTAGGACTACAGTATGCCTAATTCTTTTTTTTTTTTTTTTTTGAGATGGAGTCTTGCTTTGTTGCCCAGGCTGGAGTGCAATGACACGATCTTGGCTCACTGCAACCTCCGTCTCCCGAGTTCAAGCAATTCTCCTGGCTCAGCCTCCCGAGTAGCTGGGATTACAGGCAACTGCCACTACACCTGGCTAATTTTTGTATTTTTAGTAGAGACGGGGTTTCACCATGTTGATCAGGCTGTTCTCGAACTCCTGACCTCAGGTGATCCGCCCGCCTTGGTCTCCTAAAGTGCTGGGATTACAGGCGTGAGCCACCACACCTGGCCAGGATGTCTAATGCTAAATCCACAGTTTACAATGGGAAATGTAGGGAAGAGAGGCAAATATCCACCTGTATTCAAGAAGGCTTCCAAGGCTGTTGTCCTTGTATTAAAAGCATTGCCCTCCAACCTAGCTTATATCTGGCATATCAGTTGCTACTTAGATGAGTAACAGCCTGGACAATGATTGGGAAAGGAGGAGAGGAAAGGGGGAACTATCTAGGAACACAATCAAGGTGGGTCAACCAAAAGGATCATCAGGTTCTTACCTGGTGACCTGGTGATGCCTGGATTTTTCTCCCTTGCTTAAGATAAGTAAATGGAAGTGGAAGGGTAGAAAAGGTAGGGGAGAGACATACACATGTATATGTGGAATGGGTAGAGATTTCCTAAGGGTATAATGATCCATAGCTTCACATGAGAACTTAACTTTGAGGCAGTAGAGCATGGTGGAATCAAATCCTGGGTTCTAATCCCACCTCATTATTCACTACTATACTTAACTGCACTTCATTGTACTGTTTGTATAATGAAGGATGGAATAATATTCCCTAGATTAAATACAGGAGTAACATTTTCAATGGTTTCTGGCACATAGTACTTGGCCTCTATAAATGTGAGCAGTTACTATGCAGCAGGTACTTTCATACTAACCATCTCATTCAATCTTCTCAACAATGCTCTAAGTAGTAGTATTTCCGGTATTTTGATCAGTGAAAACGTGGCTCAGAAAGGTTAAATAACAGCCAGTCATCACACAACTAGATGGGGAAGATCTGTTTCCACATGTGTCAAAGCCTATGTTCCTAAATGCTCTTAAAAGTGGTCCAGCTAGCTGACACCTGCCAGGCCGACCTGGGGAAGCCATCCCAGCCTGTGTGCATGGCTCAGGAGAAGGAGACAGTCTGCAACTGCAACTTACTCAGAACTTCCAGAGACTGTCCCTACCACTAAGACAGACAGTTAAAGGCAATGAATAGAGTCATTTGAGCATTAATGGGTTTGGAATCTTAGCATTTGTAAACTTTTGAGGAAGTACCTAAATATTTGAGGTATATGTGAGATAATTTATGTAGCATACGTGTATTGTATATACATATATACACACACACTATATATACACACACTATATATATATACACACTATATATACACTTATATATATATATACACTATATATATATATATATACACACTATATTTTGTTTTGTTTTTGTTCATTCCATGACAGATCGAAGTAGGACCTAATTTTTCCTCCCACATTGCTTATGAAGTGGTGAAAACTACAACATTGTAGAGACAAAAGGGACATGTACAGATCAATCTGTCCCTTTCCTCCAAAGACCACCTCTACACCATCATATAGACAGGTAGGTGTGTGACTTTAAAAACTAGGCTCTTAACCCAGGTGCAGTGGCTCACGCCTGTAATCTCAGCACTTTGGGAGGCTGAGGCAGGTGGACCACTTGAGATCAGGAGTTTGAGGCCAGCATGGCCAACATGGCAAAAAAACTGTCTCTACAAAACATACAAAAATTAGCTGGGCGTGGTGGTGTGTGCCTGTAGTCTCAACTACTAGGGAGGCTGAGGCAGGAGAAATCACTTGAACCCAGGAGACGGAGGTTGCAGTGAGTGGAGATCACACCATTGCACTTCAGCCCTGGCGACAGAGTGAGACTCCATCTCAAAGAAAAAAAAAAGAAAAAGACAAACTAGGCTCTCAGAACTTCTGGTGCACATTTATTGTACCACGAGAGTGTACACTGGGTGCAGTGGCTCATGCCTATTATCTCAGCACTTTGGGAGGCCAAGGCAAGAGGATCACTTGAGACCAGGAGTTCAAGACCAGTCTGGGCAAAAAAGCAAGACCTTGTTTCTACAAAAAAAAAAAAAATAGCTGGGGATGGTGGCAGGAGCCTGTAGTCCCAGCTACTCAGGTGGCTGAGGTGGGAGGATTGCTTGAGCCTAAAAGGTTGAGGCTGCAGGGAATTGTGATGGCTTCATGATTGTCCCACTTAATGGACAACAGGAGCCCTCCTGACCCAGGGAGGTCAACAGGGGCAGGCCCTCTGTGCTATTTGGTTAGCCTTGTATTTGGGAGCTGACAGGGAGGGAATGGGGCAGTGCCAGCACCATGGGTACCCAAGATTCTCCTAGATGAATGCCAGACACTACTTCCATATTGTGTAATACACAGCAGGCATTGTGCATTGATCTTAGTACTTTTGTTTCTTTTTTTGAGACTGAGTCTTGCTCTGTTGCCCAGGCTGGAGTGCAGTGGCATGATCTCAGCTCACTGCAACTTCCGCCTCCCGGGTTCAAGCGATTCTCTATCTTGTGCCTCAGCCTCCCAAGTAACTGGGATTACAGGCGCATGCAACCACACCAGGCTAATTTTTGTATCTTTAGTACAGACAGGGTTTCACCACGTTGGCCAGGCTGGTCTCAAATTCCTGACCTCAAATGATCTGCCTGCCTTGGCCTCCCAAAATGCTGGGATTACAGGCATGAGACACCATGCCCAGCCACACTTTGTTTCTTTAAAAACATTTCTCTCCTTTGTATTCTAAATTCTTATACTTATAAACTGTATTGAAGTTTGCACAACACTTTCACATACATTACCAATAGCTCCCTATTGACCAGAGTCCAAAGCCTGAGAGGAATTTCTAGCCCTTAAATCTGCCTCTAGCCTTACAACTTGACACCCTCCCCTACAAACCCTATCTTCTTGCTGGTGCTAACCACCTGCTGCCTCTAAACAGGCCATGCAGTTTCTTGTCTCTCTCCGTTCCTTTTTTCGTTAAGCCTTTCTCCTATGTGGTTTTCCTCCTCCACCTGGAGAATTCTTGCCCATGCTTAGAGGCCCAGGTCAAATGTCACCATCTAGATGAGGGCTTCCTGCATATATCTCTCCCATTTATGAGCCCCAGGGCACCATGCTTAAACCTTCTCAAGGCTATCCCCATTGGAATGGCTATTACTAAAATAAAAACAAACCCAGAAAATAAGTGTTAGCTAAAATGTGGAGAAATTGGAACTCTCGTGCACTGCCAGTGAGAATGCAAAATGGTGCAGCTGTTGTGGAAATAGTATGGCAGGTCCTCAAAAAATTAAACATAGAATTACCATATGATTTAGCAATTACACTTCTGGGGATACACCAAAAAGAATGGAACAGATATATATATATATACCACTCCAGCCTAGGCGACAGAGCAAGACTCCATCTCAAAAAAAAGGAAATTCTGATACACGCCATAACATGGACTAACCTTGCAAATATTGCGCTAATAAAATAAGCCAGACACAAAAAGACAAATATTATATGATTCCACTTATCTGAGGTACCTAAGTAGTCAAATTCATAGACACAGAAAGTCAAATGTACTTCTAGGCCTGGACAGAAGCTCAGGCCCATCCTCCTCCCTCCAGGACCATCACACTCAACAACACTATCCTCCTTGTGCAAGATTCTAAGTCATTCAGATGCTCAGAAAATCTCAAACCCAAGCAGACACCTGCCCTTGTCAGCCCCTTCTAAGCCTGAAGTCTGACCCAAATGAGGCCTTTTCCACACAACTATCCCACTCTCCCTTCCACCATGAGGACAGGGGCCAGAAATTCTCTATATCTGACATACAAGAGGTTTACAAGATCACAGAATTCTTTTTTTTGAAAACTTTTAATACATTCACATGGTACAAAATGCAAAAGCCCTAAAGGGTAGCTTGTAAAATGTCTCCCTGGCCAACTAAGCCCTCAGCCACCCAAGCCCTCAGCCACCCAGTTCCCCACCCCAGTTTCTTGTGTATCCTAGAAGTATTTAAGCCAGTTCAACATTCCATCTAAGAACTAGCAAGAACTGTGCTTGGCCTAAACATCCAGGAGAACTGATCCTACACTCAGAAGTCACATTGTGAAGATGAAGGCCCTGGACCAGCTTTGACAGCCTGTGGGCCAGTGCCCCTTCAGGGCAGCTTCATTCCTGGGTGCCCAGGATCAAGGCCTCTGCACAGGAGCCTAAGGCTTCGACTGGCATTGGTGAGGGACATGCATGATTCTCCCTCAAGAAGGAAGGCACAGGGAGTGCAGGATGACAGCCAAGGGTGGGAGTCAGACACATGAGTAGGGGAGAGGGTGGGGAAAATCCTAGAAAAGGAGAGGTGATGGAGGAACCTAGTCTGGTTGGGAGATCGGGGCTGATGGTTGCCCACTTGTGTCTGCAGAGCCAATTGGTGCCAAGGCCCCTGTAATTCAGGCCAAGAATGACTAGAAGGGTAGCAAAGAGGGACACATGGGCAGCTTCTCTCCTGGGCCTTCCCCAAGCAGGCCAAGGCTGAGCAAGAGGTGTTTCTTCATGTCTTGGTATAATCACAGCTGCCTCAGCCACAGAGCTCCTGCCTGCGTCACTCCCCAGGAATCTGGTTCTTGTTTACCATGAAGAAGTGTGGTTATTACAGGGCCTAGTGGCCCTCTTCCAGCTTCCCCAGAGATCTTGTGGGAGAGCTGAGGGCCTGGGAAGGGGAGCCTGGCCCAAGAGGGATTGCTGAGTGAGAGGAGCAACAGGCTTCCCTGGGGACCTGCCCCTCCCAGGGCTCCCTCACCAAGACAAGTCCTAGAAGAGCCTGGCAGGATTCCAGGGACCTTCCTTGGCAGAGATACCTGGGGCCTATCTTCCTACAGAGTTGGGAAAGAAAGAGCAAGGAAGCAGAAAAAGCAAATGGAGAGAATGGGTGAGGAACAGGACCAAGGAACAGTGAAAATTGGGTTCAAACTTGTTATGTGTTCTGCTCTGGATTAAGAAATAAGAGAAACCTGGGGAGGATAAATCCTCTGACAAGATTTATATTCTGCTTTGTGTCTATCCCTGGTGACTTGCCCAGCGCCTGTCACAGAATATGGCATTTGTATTTTTGCTGGATGGATGAAATGGAGGATAGTGAATGGCACATAGACAAAGACAAATTTAAAAGTTCACGGTAATAGCTCTCTTTTAGTGAGCACCTATTATGTTCCTACAATGCCTGTGATTCCAGGTGTTGACTCAATCAATGCCCCATAACAACCCTGCAAGATAGGTGTTACTAACATCCTTCCAGGGGCCCAGATGAGGAAACTGAGGCCCATTGAATTTAAGCAACTTAAAGTAAGGTCTGGAGTGGGGATTTGAATGCAGAAAGCCGGGACCTAACTAACACCTGTCTTCTCAGCCACCATGTTCTCCTATGCAGGGAGTAAGACTCATAACTGCTGCAATTTGGGGCATAAAGCTCCATACTAGAGTTGTTCTTCCTCAATCAAGTACCTTGTTATGATCCTCATCCTCCATCCCAGCTCCTGGGTGGACTTCGCTGGACCCCCTATTCTAGGCTCAGAAAAAATTATAGCGAGAATAAGACAGTTATGTTTTTCCCAACCCAAAATTCCAATAATCTATTAATCTAGCTCGAGATCTTGGTATGAAAGCCATAAAAAAGGTGTGGGCCCAGGGACCAGAATGTGAGCCCAATGCCCTGCACAGCTGAAATGCTCTTTCTTTCTCTTTCTTTGCTATCCCCCGCAGATGCCTTTTTCTCTTCTGTTTCCTATGCATTTTTTTTTTCAGAATATTGTCCAAATGAGGAGGCGTTTCTGAAACACCAACTTGGTTCATTTACTCTCCACATAGCTGCCTGCTTTTTTCTCCCTAGGAAGTTGAACTAACAAGGTAGTATGAAAATCAGGTCATTTTCACTGTGTCAGTGTTTCCAGAGGCCATGGTGCTGAAAATGGAAATGTCAAAGTGGGATAATTACATCGGCCCTGAAGCCCTGTTTTCTAACTACCATTTATCCATAATCGATTCCTGAAAAAGACAAAGGACATGAATAATCAACCAAGCAGATGGAGCCTCAAGCAGTGAGGCAGAAGAGAAAACATGGCCCCCTGAAGGGAGAGGGAAGAAAGGCCTTGGGGGCCCAGGGAATATGTCTGCCCTGGAGACAGACCCGGTGATCAAGAAAGGCACACAGCTCAGACCTGGCCTGGGCAGATAAGGCATGTGTAGTGGGAAGTAATTAATCATTGGACTTCTCCTTTAACATCTTCTGACAGCCGTGAGAAGCTCTCTCTAGGAAATGGGGAAGGAAGTAGTAAGGAAGAACTCTGAGGATATCACATGAAGAGGGAAGCTTGGGCATAAAAATAAGGTTGAAAGATCACAAGTTCTAGAAGCTGCTTATTTAAAGACACTCCTTGTAACACACACACACGCACGCACACACACACACACACACACACACACCACCAGAAGTTGTTAAAGCTTGTGGCAGGGCTACAGTTTTCTTTGGCCAGTTTCTCCTTTGCCTTTAGGTCCAGCTGAGGAGACAGGGTCAGCCACATATCACTGGGCATTTTAGTCAGTTTCACTTCCTGTTTCTCATGCTGAAAACATAATCATCATCATAATGATAATAATAATTCTGCAGCCTTGCCTCTGGCTTCTATTTATATAGGGCCTCCCAGAAGTGTGTGCATCAGTGGGAGGGGGAGTAGAGCACATCTACTCCATCAATCAACAGCTGAGGGTGGAGGCAGGCTTGGAGGAAAGGGTGGGGACATAGAAATTAGCAATGGAAATTATTAAACTCATTTTTTCAGGAGGGGGAATCTAAGTGTCTTGGTAACTCCCCAAATGGCTATTCTTACCTTAGAGACATTTGTAAAACCCTTCTCCCAAGGTCCTCTAAAAATAAATCATTCCCAAACACTTTTCAGCCTTCAGTCTGTCCCCAGTCAAGTTAATCTCTGTGATCTGAGGCCCAAAAACATTTAAACTAACTTCCCAAGAGTTACACAGCAGGTCAGGAGAGAAGACAGGTCCAGACTAGGCTTCTTCTGCATCTATCAAGAGCTGTAACGAGGAAGGGAATTTCCAACTTTATGGGGAACTTGCAAAGTTGTCAGGAAAAAGTACAACTGCTTCTGCTAAGGAAAAAAAAATGCGTAGTTCTTGCAGACTTAAAATCCTAGGACAATGAGAGAGAGTTCCCTCTTACTAAGAATGTGCTGGGAATGTCTAAGATTAGAATAGGGGTAGGAGGGGCAGCTTTCAGACTTTGGTCAAGACAACAGCTTCGTGGAGTAGAGGTGTTGAGCCAGTATTTTAATTTTTTATCGCCAGTAAAGGGTTATACTCGAAGGACAAAGGTTGAACACTCCACAGGCTCAAGAGAATGAGATAGGAGTGGAGGGAAGCGGGGGAGGGAGCCATTATCTTGAGGACAATGGTGACACAGTCATCCTTTAGATCCTGGCTTCCCCTGGGGACCTGAGGAGAAGCGGTGGCAGGGAGGAAGCAGGTGGTTCCAGGGTCCTCGCTATATGAACCAAAAAGGCAGGTAAAGAAAAACAAAATGAAACCACCAGAGAGAGCCTCTAATTAATTGAATTAAAATTAAATGAAAAAAAAAAAACCTCCCTCTCAGACACAAACAAAGACACACAGAGCACACAGACACACCCTGAAGCACCAGCTAGCTACACTAAGGATCAAGAGAGGATGTGATCTCACCTATGTATTTATTGTGATAATTATTGTTGTTGGAGTTTTTTCCCCCAAAGGACA
Organism: Homo sapiens; assembly: GCF_000001405.40. Lineage (NCBI taxonomy): Eukaryota > Metazoa > Chordata > Mammalia > Primates > Hominidae > Homo > Homo sapiens. Next base: position 206,671,843 of record NC_000001.11, on the reverse strand, counting down.
ATCATAAGCCTGGGGCTGGATGGTGAGCGACAGGTTAGAAATGGGAAAATGAGAAAAGCCCACTGTGACCCTTTGAATAATCAACCTCAGGCTGTCAGGTGTTGAACCAGTACAAGGAGGGAACAGTAATGATATCAAACACTTCCACAGCATTCCCTATGTGCCAGACACTGTTCTAAGCACTTTCCACATATTTTCTCATTCAACACTTGCAGCAACCCTGTGAAATAGACTACTACTATTAGGACATTATCATTCATATGCATTTCCACCCTGGCTGTCTTGGCATCTCCGAGCCTGTAAAAGACGAGTTTCTTTAGTTCCCTACCTCTGTTCAGGGCCAGTTAGCTCCTTTGCCGGACCCAGTGCAAAATAAACATGCATAGCACCTTGTTCAGAAATTATTAAGAATTCCAGGCTGGGCGCGGTGGCTCATGCTTGTAATCCCAGCACTTTGGGAGGCCGAGGAGGGCGGATCACGAGGTCAGGAGATAAAGACCATCCTGGCTAACACGGTGAAACCCCGTCTCTACTAAAAATACAAAAAAAAAAAAAATTAGCCGGGCATGGTGGCGGGCGCCTATAGTCCCAGCTACTTGGGAGGCTGAGGCAGGAGAACGGCCGTGAACCCGGGAGGCGGAGCTTGTTGTGAGCGGAGATCGCGCCGCTGCACTTCAGCGTGGGTGACAGAGCAAGACTCCGTCTTGAAAAAAAGAAAAGAATTCCAAGTGAGTATTAAACCCACACAGCGTCCTTATAAATGCAGGTCCCTGTGCAATGCATGGCTTGCATGCCCATGAAGCTGGCCCTGCATAGAACCTCCCCGAATCATTGCACAGAACAATTGTGCTGTCTTCTGTTATCCTACCCTGGTGCATGCCCAACTCCTAAACAAGGAAAGGGGAGGGAAAAAAACACATTCTACCCCAAATATATTGGCTGTATGTAGATGGCTTTGTTGAAGAAGATATTCCTCAGCTAAATGAAAGTTTGAGAACCATGATCTAGATGTTTTTCTTGTCTTCCTATCCTCCCCCCATACCTAGAAGACAATACAGACGATTTGTTAAAATCTCTCCCACTGTTGTTTCAGGAGGTTTGTCCTTTTATTCACCCCTCTCCTCACATCCCACATCTAATCAGCTGGCAATTCTTGCTGACTCTATCTCAGCAAGGCCTCCTGTATCCTGCCCTCTTTTCCATCTCCCCTGCAACTGCCCTAGATTTCTCTCACCTAGAATATTCCACTAGCTCACTAACTAGATTCCTTGCCTTCAACCCCGTGCTTTTCCAATCCATCCTTTATGATGCTTGTTATACTTGGCCTTTTATTCGTCACTTTTGAGGACTTTTTTTTCTCCCAAGTTGTCAATTTCTCAAGGGCAGATACTCCATTCCCAGTCACCTGTGCCCTCCTCAGTAGCCCCGAGAGGAGCAGTCTGTGCTTGCTGAGTATGCGTGCAATGACTCCCTTGCAAATATCTCGCCTTTTCCATTAGGCTCACATTCTAGACAAAAGCTCAGCCTTTTGAACTCTCAGTCTAGAGAGTTCCTTTGTCTTAAATTCTAGAGAAAAGCATGATATCCAAAGTCTTATCTCATATTACAATAAAAATGTAGCCAATTGCAATAATTAGGAGGGTTTACTTCCCAATGTATCAATAAGGCATGGAAATAATTATGAGAAGCTGTGGAGAGGACAAATGGGTGTCTCTTGCTTGGAAGGCTTAGTTTGACTTGGCTTCAACCAAAAAAGGCAGAAAGGCCTGACTTCCATAATCTTCATTACCCATAGCAAAGTAATTGGTCTGTTTAAACAATCAGGATTGTTTTAAAGAATGATGGCCTTGAGTGCTACTTTAGGGAAGAAACCACAGTCAAAGATGGTTTACCTCAACATTTCAAAAGGTCTTACTGGTACCCTAATCTCATTTAAAAACCAGCCTAAATTACCTTGGATCCAGAATATGAGAACCATCCTATATCAGTTAGGACGCATGCAGCTGAAAAGACAACTGGCAATGGCTTAAATCATAAAGATGCTAATAGTTTCTTAACAAGGCTAAAGGGAGGTGATCTCGGGTTGTTCAGCAGCTCAACAAAGTCCTCAAGCTCCATCAAGGATCCGGGTCTGACCGTCCTCTGCTTTGCCATGCTCAGCAGACAGGACCTCTCCACCATCCAGCTCAGCATATTATTTCATTGTTGCAAGATGGCTGCAACAGCTCTAAGTCTCACATCTTCCCATGGCGTGATTCAACAGAGCAAGAAAAGAGGCAAGGGTGAAATAAAAAATAAAAGTAAAATTTAAAAAAAATTGAAGTCTTGGCTGGGCTCAGCGGCTCACTCCTATAATCTCAGCCCCTTGGGAGGCTGAGGCATGAGGAACGCTTGAGGCCAGGAGTCCA